>NC_000010.11:5464545-5616060 GCF_000001405.40 Homo sapiens
AAAACAAACCAAAAAAAAAAAAAGAAGAAGATATACGGATGGCAAATAGGCAAATGAAAAGATGTTCTACATCATATGTCATTAGGGAATTGCAAATTAAAACGACAATGAGATCGCGCTTCACACCAATTAGAATGTCAAGTTCCAAAACACTGACAACATCAGCTGCTGGCAAGGATGTGGAACAACAGGAACGCTCATTCACTGCTGGTAGGAATGCAAAATGGAAGCCAGTTTGGCAGCTTCTTTAAAAAACTAAACATGCTCTTACCCTGCAATCCAGCAATCTTGCTCCTTGGTATTTGCCCAATTGAGTTGAAAACTTATATCCACACAGAAACCTGCACACAGATGTTTATAGCAGCTTTATTCATACTTGCCAAAACTTGGAAGGAACCAAGATGTTCTTCAGCAGGTGCTACGTATGGTCTGAATGTGTCCATGAAAATTTGTATGTTGAAACTTAATGGTCAATGTGATAGTAGTAAGAAGTGGGGCCTTTAGGAGGTGATTAAGTGATGAGGCCAGAGCCCTCACAGGTGGGATTAGAGCCCTTATAAAAAGGCTGGGGAGAGTGAGAAGGTTCTTTCCTTTCCATTTCTTCTGCCATGTGAGGACAAAGTGTCCACCTCCCCCAGAGGACGCAGCAACAAGGCACCATCTTGGAAAACAAGAGAGCAGCCCTCCCCAGACAACAAATCTGCCAACAACTTCATTTTGGACTTTCCTGCCTCCAGAACTATGAGACATGAATTTTTTTTCTTTATAAATTACCTAGTCTCCAATGTTTCATTATAGCAGCACGAACAGACTAAGACAGTAGTGAATGGATGAACGAACTGTGGAACATGCAGACAATGGAATACGATTCAGCACTGAAAAGAAATGGGCTATCAAGCTGTGCGAAGACACAGAACACTGAATGCATATGACTAAGTGAAAGAAGCCCACCTGAAAAGCTTACTTCCTATAAGACTCCAACTACGGGACATTCTGATAAAGGCAAAACTATGGAGACAGTGCAAAGATCAGTAGTCGCCAGGGGTTGGGGGAAGAAAGGGATGAGTAGGCAGAGTGCAGAGGATTTTTAGGGCAGGGAAACAACTCAGTATGATCAGTATGATGCTATCATGGTGGAGCTATGTCGTTATACATTTGTCCAAACCCACACGATGTACAACACCAAGAACGAGCCTTCAGGTAAACTGTCGACTCTGGGTGACAATGAAGTGTCCATGTAGCTTCACCGATTGTAACAAACGCACCATCTGGTAGGGATGTTGATGGCGGAGGAGGCTTGAGAACTCTGTACTTAGCACTCAATTTAACTATGAACATAAAACTTCTTTAAAACATAAAGTCAATAAAAAAAATCCAGACCCAGAAAAATAGATGGCATTAGTACACTTCCTTCAAGTCATATCTATGGAGATCAAAACTGGAATGATACCATGCAAATTCTACAAACGCTGAATTTAAATGCTGAGCAAAGCGGCCCAGGCTGTTTTCATCTGGAGGTCTGGGCTGCAACCTCTCACTCTCAGACAATAACTACTTAGGAAAATTCGACATCCAGAGGCCTAGGAGCCTCAGGGCCCAACCCCAGGCCGCCCTAGCCTGTGCGGGTGAACCTTTCACTGGGGTGGGCGGGGAGCGGGGTTGCAAAAGAACCAGGTAAAAGGCAAGGACTGGCGTTTTCCTAAATCACAGCCTTCAGCAGCAGCACCCTGATCTGGGCGATGAGGGAACTTACAGCCTCGCCCTCCTCCCCCAGGCAAGTCTGTGGGTGTCCCTGGGCTCTGCTCCAGGTAACCTGGAGTCAACCAACCTGGGGACAGATTCCCCTTGTCTTTGTATCTCCTCTTCCCGGCCTCATGGCAGAGAGGAAGCAGGCCGCCTGCTGCAGTCAGAAACACAGCCCTCTCCTCTCTCAGTCCACTCTGAAGTCGCCCAGAGCTGCAGCCCCAGACTCCTCCCCAGCAGGGCTGAGCGATGAGATCAGGAGGGTCGGGCTGCAGCCTTTGGCTGGTGCATTTCTCTCTCCCCTGCAGGCCCCACTCTCCACAGTTCAAACCACAACTGTTCATTGAAGAACGTGACTTGAGAAGTTGGCGCCAGGCCTCCCTCCACGCCTGGAAACTGCTGCAGGGCTGGAGAAACGTCTGCTGTCTGACATCACTTACCTTTGCCAACTACAATCACAGGCCTCGCTGTCCCCACCCCTTAGGCAGACTCTTAGGCAGGTTCTCTTTGTCTTGGGCGATTTCCAGGTGTGAGCTCAGCCCTCTGCTCCCTACCCAAGGTGGGGGAAGGGAAGGAAAGAAGCCAGGAGGGACTGTCAAGGAGGGGAGGGGGAGGCCGGGAGGGCCAGGGCCTCCCAGGGCAACTCTGATAAAGGGGAACAAGACATCAATGGGGCTGACGTAGCCTGCAGGCCTCTCCTGTTTTCTATCACATTGCAAAACTTCACGCGTGCCTCTCTGTGCACCGGGCAGGAGGGTTAGGATTAGCAGAATGTCTCTGCCCACTAGGAATATATAATCCAAGACAGGCAGCTCTGAAACAGACAGACCACAGGGAGAGGCCTCGGCAGCTCACACACCACGCGTACAAATGAATAGATGGTGTGTTATTTTCCATCCATCAAATGCGCATAGATGTGCATTTTATGGGGTGGCAGATGGAACCGAAAGCTCAAAGCAGCCTTTAAACTTTCCAGCCCCAGCAGGCCCGTGAGTCCCTCGGGTTCTTTGCAGCCTCTGCTGATCCCTGTGGGTAGTACGCTCTTCCAAAACAAAGGAAAATGACACATGGGCCTATAAATACACATGCATGCACACCCTAGCTGAGAGCAAGTGGGGAGGGGGCCCGAAAGCCACGAAGCTATGTTCGCCTGCAGCGAAGGAGCCTGAGACAATCTTTTCCATGATGGAAACTATTTCTTTCATTCTGGCTGGCCCAACATTACACCCAGGTCCTCCAGGGCTGAGTCTCTCCAGAACTTTCTAATGAGCTTCTTGGTTGCAGTAACAAACAAGTTAACCATTGACTTAACAGGATTTTTACAAAGCAGGAGAAATTTTTTGTTGTTTTGGAAGGTTCTGGAATCCGGGCATACTGTGGAGAAATGACACCCTAACTCCGGCAGTGCCCAGCACCTTGAATCTTCTGACCAGCCAGGCCGGCTGTGCCTTTGCTCACTGTGGTCCCCCTGCCTGCAGGGCTGTGCCTCCCCCTCCCCAACACCCTCTGCCGGGATCCCCTGTACCCCTCCACATGCAGCTGAGCCTTCCCTTTCCCAGGCAGCCTTCCCTGAGTCCCTGGGGAAGCCCATTCTTTACTTGCTGGGCCCCACCCCATGCTCTGGTCTTAGGTTCCTGCCCCCAACATCAAACACTTCCCAGGTTGGGTGTTGCCCTCTCTACAAGTCTCCAAGTCTATTGGTCTGTGTGTCCCCCTAAACTACCACTTTGCGTGACACAGAATGTGTTCAAACTTGTTTGCTGAGTGAGCTGTAAAGACTGACTGATTTCAGCTCTGCATGAGCCAGAGTCCATGGCTCAGCGAACAAGCTGCTCAGGGACTCAGAGCCTCTCAGACCCAGCATTCCAGGAGCCAGCCTTCCAGGAGGCCTCAGAGGACCTCACCTCCCAGGATTCACACCCTTCCCACAAGGTGTCAGGGCCAGTAACTTAGAGCAAGGCCAACAGAGTAAGATAAAAGGGATAGAATGTGATTTCGGAGGCTACACCATAAGAGACAGTTCTGCCTCTGCTTACCCTGTCCAGGACCTCCTGCTCTGGAGGAAGCCAGTATTCATAAGGACACTTGAGCTCCCCTGCAGAGAGGTCCAAGACAGGAAAAACTGAGGCCTCCCGCAGACAGCCAGCACCCACTGCCTGCTGCAGGAGGGAGCCCCAGTCGAGCCTTCAGATGATGGAGCCCCAGTCGAGCCTTCAGATGATGCAGCCCCACCTGCTGCTCTCTGGCTGCAGCCTCATGGGAGATGTTGAGACAGCCATCCAGCTGAGCAGCCCCCAGAGAAATGTGGGGGAATGCCTGTTTATTGTGCTTTGAAGCCTCGATTTTCATGTAGTCTGTTGTGCAGCAATGGGTAAGGACTCCAAGTCCTGAAAGTTGGCTGGGTTGTCACCATGGTGTGCACCACTGGGAAAGCCAGGCCAGAAGGAACTCATCAGAGCTCTCTAATTTGGCCCAAACCAGAGAGAATAAAGAAGCAGCAAATCTCAAGAAAAGGCACCAAGACCTCATCCCCTGAGGCCCAAAACAGAGGAGCAGGCCAAGCAGGCCACATAAACACTCATCAGGCATTGCTTGCAGTCTGAGGCCTGAGGCCGGCTGCCCTCTGTCCCTGGATCCCATGTCCCAGGGAACACCAGCAAATAAGCTGACCTTGAATGTCCCCATCTTACTCAACCTTGCTTCATTTCATGGCAGGGGAAACAGACCCAGGAGGGAATCAATGCATCTCTAGCAACAGCTCCTGGGTGGCTCGGACGTGGGGACAAGCACAGTTCCTCCCTCCAGCTCAGTGTTGGTCACACTGCCACCCCGGCCACACAATGAACAGTGTGGGGCTCAGTCGCTTTTCCTCCTTTCTCCCTCCACTCCCTCCCTCCTCCTTCCTCTGTCTCTTCTTCCTTCCCCCTCATCTCTCTCACACCAGAATGCTTCTGATCATCCTAATCCCCATGCATAACAACAGTGTAGGCTTTGTCAGATGCATGAGCATCATGGTTCAATAGAAACACAGTGAGAGCCACCGCTGATGCACACCCACTGTCTCACCCAGCCCTGCTCCTGCTCTCCGCAGGGTGCAGGAAAAGAACCGTAAGTGGAGGCCAGCAGCCCACAGTCTGTCCCCTTCCTCCCAACCCAGCTCTGTCCTGCACGGAGAGGCCTCGCACATGCCCTGCCCTCAACCCCATGTCTGCCCACATACCCTACACCCCACACAGCTAGTCCCACAGTCAGAAGCAAACACAGGAAGGGAAATCCAGCTCCCCTCAACCCCCGCCAGAAACACATTCTAAAAGTGGGGTGGATGCTCTGGCTGGCATGACCTCATGCCCCAGCAGGCTCTGGCCTCAGGGGATGTGGGAGGGCTGGAGAGACTCCCGCAGTCTTCACAGTGAGGGCCATCAGGAGCAGAGGCCCAACATCCAGGTCCCAGGAGAGGACTTTTCCAGGCACCTTAAACACAACCCACTATTTTATTTAATCCTCATGATGATTGAAGGTTTGAGGCTTCAGGGATGTGCTCAAGGTTGCCCGGTGGGCGGCAGAGCCAGGGGCGGCACACAGCTACGCCTGGTCCCACAGGCAGTCCGGATGCTAAGCCTTCCAGGTGCTGAGACCAATGGAGTGGGACAGGCGGCCCGGACCATGCCCACAAGGGAGGAGAGGAGGAGAAGAAAGAGGCTTAGGGTGGAGTCACTGCCGGGCCCTACCATGCCACTCAAGCCTAGAGTCCCAGGACGGCTCAGGACAGAGGGACCAGAGACAGGGCTCTCAGCCGCGAAAGCAGGCAGCCAGGGTACTGGGGGGATAGTCCAGGCCTAGCACCCCTGGCCCATCCTGCTACTGATCCACTCTGCTTCAGATCCCGGTTAAGCATGCGTGGGCAACCATGGGGCCGCGGGCAGACAGGTAGGGTCCCCCTCACGGAGGCCCTCCTGGGCTCTCTCCCGCTGCTGATCTGCAAGGCCCCAGATCGCCAGCCTCCAGGGAGAAACTCCTCCATGGTTTAGCCGTGTGTTTGCTCTAGAAGGGAGAAGCAAGCTCCCTGGAGGTGACAGAGCAGCAGCATCTCTGGCCCTTCTAGGGCCCTGCTTGGTGCTGCCTTACTTGGAAGGCCCAGAGTTGCATCAGTGGCTGCAGTGACAAAGCCCAAGGGGACAGTCCAGGAAACTAGCACCCCCATCTGCAGTGTCCATGATGACAGCCACCACCTGCCAGGACACCCTCCTCTGCCTGTGCCTAAGGTGGCTGGGAGCCAGGGCACGTGTTAGTGGACAGTGGTGAGTGGGTCCCACCAAGCCTGTGCCAGGGAGGACCCATGAGTGTTCGGTGCAAATGTTGGCGGCGCGGTGGCTGGAAGGAGCCTGTGATCATCACACATTTTTCCCAGTTTTAATTCCATGCATTCCCCATGATGCTGCATTGCTTCCATTTACTAACTTTATTTTCATTAATATAAGTTGTCAGGCCTCTGAGCCCAAGCTAAGCCATCGTATCCCCTGTGACCTGCACATACAATCCAGATGGCCGGTTCCTGCCTTAACTGATGACATTCCACCATAAAAGAAGTGAAAATGGCCTGTTCCTGCTTTAACTGATGACATAGTCTTGTGAAATTCCTTCTCCTGGCTCATCCTGGCTCAAAAGCTCCCCCACTGAGCACCTTGTGACCCCCACTCCTGCCCGCCAGAGAACAAACCCCCTTTGACTGTAATTTTCCTTTACCTACCCAAATCCTATAAAACAGCCCCACCCCATCTCCCTTCGCTGACTCTCTTTTCGGACTCAGCCCACCTGCACCCAGGTGAAATAAACAGCCATGTTGCTCACACAAAGCCTGTTTGGTGGTCTCTTCACATGGACATGCATGAAATTTGGTGCCGTGACTCGGATCAGGGGACCTCCCTTTTGGGAGATCAATCCCCTGTCCTCCTGCTCTTTGCTCCGTGAGAAAGATCCACCTACGACCTCAGGTCTAGACCAACCAGCCCAAGAAACATCTCACCAATTTCAAATCCAGTAAGCAGCCTCTTTTTACTCTCTTCTCCAACCTCCCTCACTATCCCTCAACCTCTTTCTCTTTTCAATCTTGGCACCACACTTCAATCTCTTCCTTCTCTTAATTTCAATTCCTTTCATTTTCTGTTAGAGACAAAGGAGACACATTTTATCCGTGGACCCAAAACTCCGGCGCTGGTCACGGACTGGGAAGGCAGCCTTCCCTTGGTGTTTAATCATTGCAGGGATGCCTCTCTGATAATTCACCCACGTTTCAGAGGTGTCTGACCACACGGGGATGCCTGCCTTGGTCCTTCACCCTTAGTGGCAAGTCCCACTTTTCTGGGGGAGGGGCAAGAACCTCAACCCGTTCTCTCTGTGTCTCTACCCCTTCTCCACTTTTCTGGGGGAGGGGCAAGAACCCCTCAACCCCTTCTCCTTCACCCTTAGTGGCAAGTCCCGCTTTTCTAGGGGCCAAGAACCCCCAATCCCTTATTTCCACACCCCAACCTCTTATCTCTGTGCCCCGATCCCTTATTTCTGTGCCCCAACCCCCATCTCTGTGCCCCAACCCCTTATTTCCATGCCCCAACCTCTTATCTCTGCGCCCCAACCACTTATTTCCGTGCCCTGACCCTTTTCCCGCTTTTCTAGAGGGTAAGAACCCCCAAACCCCTTCCCTCCGTGTCTCTACTCTCCCTTTTCTTTAAATTTGCCTCCTTCACTATAGGCAAACTTCCACCCTCCATTCCTCCTTCTTCTCCCTTAGCCTGTGTTCTTAAGAACTTAAAACCTCTTCAACTCTCGCCTGACCTAAAATCTAAGTGTCTTATTTTCTTCTACAACACTGCTTAGCCCCAATACAAACTTGACAATGGCTCTGAATAGCCAGAAAACGGCACTTTCATTTTTTCCATCCTACAAAGTCTAAATAATTCTTGTCGTAAAATGAGCAAATGGTCTGAGGTGCCTGACGTCCAGGCATTCTTTTACACATCAGTCCCTCCCTAGCCTCTGTTCCCAACGCAACTGGTCCCAAATCTTCCTTCTTTCCTTCCCGCCTCTCCCCTCAGTCCCAACCCCAAGCATTGCTGAGTCTTTCTAATCTTCCTTTTCTACAGACCCATCTGACCTCTCTCCTCCTAGCCAGGGCAAGCTAGGTCCCAATTCTTCCTCAGCCTCCGCTCCTCCGCCCGATAATCCTTTTATCACCTCCCCTCCTCACACCCGGTCTGACTTACAGTTTCTTTCCGTGACTAGCCCTCCCCCACCTGCCCAGCAATTTCCTCTTAAAAAGGTGGCTGGAGCTAAAGGCATAGTCAAGGTTAATGCTCCTTTTTCTTTATCCGACCTCTCCCAAATCAGTTAGTGTTTAGGCTCTTTTTCATCAAATATAAAAAACCCAGCCCAGTTCATGGCTCATTTGGCAACAACCCTGAGACGCTTTACAGCCCTAGACCCTGAAAGGTCAGAAGGCCGTCTTATTCTCTTTTTTTTTTTTTTTTTTTTTTTTTTTTGATACGGAGTCTCGCTCTATCACCCAGGCTGGAGTGCAGTGGCGCAGTCTCGGCTCACTGCAAGCTCCGCCTCCCGGGTTCACGCCATTCTCCTGCCTCAGCCTCTCCAAGTAGCTGGGACTACAGGCACCCGCCACCACGCCCGGCTAATTTTTTTGTATTTTTAGTAGAGATGGGGTTTCACCATGGTCTCGATCTCCTGACCTCATGATCCACCCGCCTCGGTCTCCCAAAGTGCTGGGATTACAAGCATGAGCCCCTGCGCCCGGCCTTCTTATTCTCAATACACATTTTATTTTATTACCCAGTCTGCTCCCGACATTAAATAAAGCTCCAAAAATTAAATTCCGGCCCTCAAACCCCACAAAAGGACTTCATTAACCTAGCCTTCAAGTGTACAATAGAGTAGAGGCAGCCAAGTAGCAACATGTTTCTGAGTTGCAATTCCTTGCCTCCACTGTGAGACAAATGCCAGCCACATCTCCAGCACACAAGAACTTCCAAACACCTAAACCGCAGTGGCCAGGTGTTCCTCCAGGCCCGCCTCCCCCAGGAGCTTGCTACAAGTGCCAGAAATCTGGCCACCAGGCCAAGGAATGCCCACAGCCCAGGATTCCTCCTAAGCCACATCCCATCTGTGCAGGACCCCACTGAAAATCAGACTGTTCAACTCACGGGGCAACCACTCCCAGAGCCCCTGGAACTCTGGCCCAAGGCTGTCTGACTGACTTCTTCTCAGATCTTCTCGGCTTAGCAGCTGAAGACTGACACTGCCCGATCACCTCAGAAGCCTACAAGACCATCACAGACACTCTAGGTGACTCTCAAAGTGGAGGGTAAGTCCGTCCCCTTCTTAGTCAAAATGGAGGCCACCCATGCCACATTACCTTCTTTTCAAAGGCCTGTTTCCCTTGCCTCCATAACTGTTGTAGGTATTGACAGCCAGGCTTCTAAACCTCTTAAAACTCCCCAAATCTGGTGCCAACTTAGACAATACTCTTTTAAGCACTCCTTTTTAGTTATCCCCACCTGCCCAGTTCCCTTATTAGGCTGAGACACTTTAACTAAATTATCTGCTTCCCTGACTATTCCTGGACTACAGCTACATCTCATTGCCGCCCTTCTTCCCAATCCAAAGCCTCCTTTGTGTCCTCCTCTTGTATCCCCCCACCTTAACCCACAAGTATAAGATATCTCTACTCCCTCCTTGGCGACCGGTCATGCACCCCTTACCATCTCATTAAAACCTAATCACCCTTACCCTGCTCATTGACAATATCCCATCCCACAGCACGCTTTAAAAGGATTAAAGCCTGTTATCACTCACCTGCTACAGCATGGCCTTTTAAAGCCTATAAACTCTCCTTACAATTCTCCCATTTTACCTGTCCTAGAACCAGACAAGCCTTACAGGTTAGTTCAAGATCTGCACCTTATCAACCAAATTGTTTTGCCTATCCACCCCGTGGTGCCAAACCCTTATACTCTCCTATCCTCAATACCTGCCTCCACAACCCATTATTCTGTTCTAGATCTCAAATATGCTTTCTTTACTATTCCTTTGCACCCTTCATCCCAGCCTCTCTTTGCTTTCACTTGGACTGACCCTGACACCCATCAGGCTCAGCAAATTACCTGGGCTGTACTGCCGCAAAGCTTCACAGACAGCCCCCATTACTTCAGTCAAGCCCAAATTTCTTCCTCATCTCTTACCTATTTTGGTGTAATTCTCATAAAAACACACGTGCTCTCCCTGCTGATCATGTCCAGCTGATCTCTCAGACCCCAACCCCTTCTACAAAACAACAACTCCTTTCCTTCCTAAGCATGGTTAGATACTTTCGACTTTAGATACCTGGTTTTGCTATCCTAACAAAACCATTATATAAACTCACAAAAGGAAACCTAGCTGACCCCATAGATCCTAAATCCTTTCCCCACTCCTCTTTCTGTTCCTTGAAGACAGCTTTAGAGACTGACCCCACCCTAGCTCTCCATGACTCATCCCAACCTTTTTCATGACACACAGCCGAAGTGCAGGGCTGTGCAGTCAGAATTCTTACACAAGGACTGGGATTGCGTCCTGTAGCCTTTTTGTCCAAACAACTTGACCTTACTGTTTTAGGCTGGCCATCATGTCTCCGTGCAGCAGCTGCTGCCACTCTAATACTTTAGAGGCCCTCAAAATCACAAACTATGCTCAACTCACTCTCTACAGTTCTCATAACTTCCAAAATCTATTTTCTTCCTCACACTTGACCCATATACTTTCTGCTGTCCGGCTCCTTCAGCTGTACTCACTCTTTGTTAAGTCTCCCACAATTACCATTGTTCCTGGCCCGGACTTCAATCCGGACCCCCACATTATTCCTGGTACCACACCTGACCCCTATGACTGTATCTCTCTGATCCACCTGACATTCGCCCCATTTCCCCCTATTTCCTTCTTTCCTGTTCCTCACCCTGATCACACTTGGTTTATTGATGGCGGTTCCACCAGGCCTAATCGCCACACACCAGCAAAGGCAGGCTATGCTATAGTACAAGCCACTAGCCCGCCTCTTAGAACCTCTCATTTCCTTTCCATCGTGGAAATCTATCCTCAAGGAAATAACTTCTCAGTGTTCCATCTGCTATTCTACTACTCCTCAGGGATTATTCAGGCCCCCTCCCTTCCCTACACATCAAGCTCAGGGATTTGCCCCTGCCCAGGACTGGCAAATTGGCTTTACTCAACATGCCCTGAGTCAGAGAACTAGAATACCTCTTAGTCTAGGTTGACACTTTCACTGGATAGGTACAGGCCTTTCCTACAAGGTCTGAGAAGGCCACCACCATCATTTCTTCCGTTCTGTCAGACAATTCTCGGTTTAGCCTTCCCACCTCTATACAGTCTGATAGCAGACCAGCCTTTATTAGTCAAATGAGCCAAGCAGTTTTTCAGGCTCTTAGTATCCAGTGAAACCTTTATATCCCTTACGGTCCTCAGTCTTCAGGAAAGGTAGAGCAGACTAATAATCTTTTAAAAACACACCTCACCAAGCTCAGCCACCAACTTATAAAGGACTGGACAATACTTTTACCACTTTCCCTTCTCAGAATTCAGGTCTGTCCTCAGAATGCTACAGGGTACAGCCCATTTGAGCTCCTGTATGGACGCTCCTTTTTATTAGGCCCCAGTCTCATTCCAGACACCAGACCAACTTAGACTGTGCCCCCAAAAAAACTTGTCATCCCTACTATCTTCTGTCTAGTCATACTCCTATTCACCGTTCTCAACTACTCATACATGCCCTGCTCTTGTTTACACTGCTGGTTTACACTGTTTCTCCAAGCCATCACAGCTGATATCTCCTGGTGCTATCCCCATACTGCCACTCTTAACTCTTCAAGTAAATAAATAATCTTCGCTGGCAGGACTATGCTGAATCTCCTTAGGCACTCTCTAATGAAATGTCCTAGGTCCTCCCAATCCTTAGACCTTTAATACCTGTTTTTCTCCTTTTCTTATTCCATTTTTCAATTCATCCAAAACTGTATCCAGGCCATCACCAATAATTCTAAATGACAAATGTTTCTTCTAACAACCCTACAATATCACCCCTTACCACAAAATCTTCCTTCAGCTTAATCTTTGCTACTCTAGTTTCCCACGCCGCCCCTAATCCCGCTCGAAGCAGCCCTGAGTAACATCGCCCATAATCTCTCCATGCCATCCCCCAAAATTTTCGCCGTCCCAACACTTTTCATTTTATTTTTCTTATTACTATAAGAAGACAGGAATGTCAGGCCTCTGAGCCCAAGCTAAGCCATCATATCCCCTGTGACCTGCACGTACAATCCAGATGGCCGGTTCCTGCCTTAACTGATGACATTCCACCACAAAAGAAGTGAAATGGCCTGTTCCTGCTTTAACTGATGACATTGTCTTGTGAAATTCCTTCTCTTGGCTCATCCTGGCTCAAAAGCTCCCCCACTGAGCACCTTGCGACCCCCACTCCTGCCCGCCAGAGAACAACCCCCTTTGACTGTAATTTTCCTTTTCCTACCCAAATCCTACAAAACAGCCCCACCCCATCTCCCTTCGCTGACTCTCTTTTCAGACTCAGCCCACCTGCACCCAGGTGAAATAAACAGCCTTGTTGCTCACACAAAGCCTGTTTGGTGGTCTCTTTACACGGACGCGCATGAAATAAATAAGCTCCTGTTCTCCGTTTCTGCATCACAAAAAAATGGCCAGAGAGATGTTTTCCCTGAGTTTCAGGGTCAGGCTGGAATGGTCTGACCTGAACTCGCTGGCTGGGTATTTTTGAAATCTACTCTGGGAAGCTTGGAGGGCATTAGCAGACATCTCAAAGAGATGGGCCGTGACCCTCCGCAGCTGAGCACCCCAGTCCCTCACCAAGTGACTGGGATGGAGACATGAGGATTACATGTCAAGGTGCCGTGGACAGAGATAGCAAATGGGGGCTTCAAATATCAGCCCCCAGTCAGAAGCTGCAACCCCAGTGCTCTGCTCAGAGCGGCTGTGATCCAGCTCCGACACCCACGGGGTGAAGTCATGGGGATTAACTGACTTAACTGTGCTGAGCAGTTCTCCCAGGAAAGGCCGGGAGGCTGCTCATCTTAAGTCCGTGTTCCAGATCTGAATTTAGGAATAAATTCATACTCAGAATTTTTGAAAACCTCTAGCAAAATGAATTTATACTAACCCATAACCACTTCTCTCTGGGTCCTTCTCATGTGACCTGATTTTTTTTAAGTGTTTCACTGCTGAAATGTTTGAAGTCCATGGAAATGGTAAATAGCATAACCAAAATGAAAGGAATTTACACGGATTTAAGAAAAGTTTCTCAGCTGCTCAGCTAACACCATGAGAGAAGGTATCAGCTGCTGGGACTGAAATATTTAAGCCAAGATGCCATCTCCCTGCACACTGGCGTGCGCGGCTGCCTGCAGGCTCTCCCTCTCCCACGTCCGTATCTCAGGTACCCCCTCATCCACGTGCCCCATTGACAAAGAGACGCTCTGTCCTTAGACGTGTTAATTTACTCAGCTAAGCACAGGCCTGGAAAACTGTCCAGTGAGCGAGTCCTGCCATCTGAGGATCCTTAGTCTCTAAGGACAGTCATTGCTCCCTTGTCCATCTGTCCTTTGGACCCCTCTGGGGAGCTCGTGCACCTCACCAAAGTCCCAGGTTCAAGTCCCAACCTGTGAGGCTCTGTGATCTTCTGCAGGTATCACCTGGTGGTCCCCAGGGGACCCCTAAACTCAGCTACCCCCTGCCCTGGGCCTGGGCAGGGCCTCCGCCGCCCCGCCCTGGGGGCCAGTCCTTGCTGCAGTCTCTGCAGAGAGGGCTCCACCAGAGCCAGAGTCACCTCTCAGCCGCTACGCTCCTGGCCTCTGTATGCAGGAAGCATACCCGGGCAGTAAGATGCAGAGAGAAAGGACCAGCCTTGGGAAAATCACTTGCCTTCCTGCACCCCCACATGAGACTTCTGTCTAGAGAGACTTCTGGGGCATAAAGGGGCTTCCAGAAGTGACTTAGTCCAAGCCCCTGCAGAGCCCACGCAGGTTTACCACATGACCTTCCTGGGCATCTACCCTGAATTCCTCCTGGACTTGTTTAAGTTTATCTCCGTTCTCCAGCTGTCCTAGACCACAAGGCCACTGAGTGCTCTCTCTTCTTTCCTTACCTCAGGACAGACGGCACCCACCTCTTCTAGTCTCCCTGCTCCTCTGCCTCCCTTTGGGTAGGCTGGAAATCTATGGGTCATGGACAAAACATGGCCCCCGCTCTTTTCTTGATAAGCAAAAGCAGTTTTGAGGCCTCAAAGAATTTTTGAAAACCTCTAGCAAAATGAATCACAAGATTTGGAAGCTGTATCTTCAGAAAGTCCGTTTTGTGGCTGGGGCCAGGTTTTTGCCTCTGGCATGGGTTGGGGGCTGTCCCCGGGACTTGATCAAGGGGTGGGAGGTAAGCGGTGCTGTGTCCTCTCCCAGGGGAGCCTCCTCACCAGGAGGTGTTGAGGAGCCAGGGCAGGGGGGCCGCCTGGCCTGCAGGACCAGAGCTAGGCCGCCGAGGGCCTCTCTCCCTCCACCTGCAACTGTCTATGGCCTCGGCTCCCCTGGAGCTGGGCAAGAGCCATCCATGAGAGCGTCTGGGTCGGTTAAGGTCCCTTTCTGTACCCTCGCGATTCTCCTCTGAGGCCTATGTCTCTGTCCGTCTCCTCCAGCCCCCTCACACCCTGGCTGCACTGCGTCCTTCTCTCCTGGAGGCCCCTGGCTGAGCCCCCCGCCGTGGTCTTGGCCTCTTCTCCAGGAACATGAGAGGCTGGGATTACATCGCGTTCCCACAGGCCCACTAATTTTGTGCCACTGCCACAGTTTTGCACTTTTTCATTCATTATCTACTCAATAGTTTCAAATCTACAGTTTCTGTCTTTAGTGAACGTAATTTAAATGAACACTTTATGTGATTATTCTAAATGGAAAACCAGCTTCCTTTGCTTTATATAGAAGGAAATGATAATAAGTATATACGGAAAACAAAATAATGTCAGTAAGCGCTGCCTGGGCCTCTCTGGCTCTGAGAAGGGTCTGCTGTCTCCTTTTCTGTTTCCCTCACAAGCCCTGAAATCCCTCAGACACCATCAGTGGCACATAGCAAAATTCTGGCAAACCCTTGGAGATCTCTGTGGTCCATTTCAAAGCTACTATTTTCACTATTCTTCTGTTTCTTTCTCCCCTCTCCTCCCCAGATGCCTTAGCTACTTCCCCGTGATAATTACAACACACCCACAAATACAATCCTCTGGTCTAAAAGTACCTGCTTAAAAAGACTTTTTATTTTCCAGCGCCCGCCCACAGCAAGGCACCAGGGTTGTGTTTTGGGAGAGATAAGGGGCTCTGTTTCCAACATCCCTCCCCACAGGCCCTGACAGATACCACGGTGGTTCCTGATAGGAAATCCCCTCTGCCTCATGGAAAACCCAGAGAAGGAAGCCGAGTGGCCTGGGTAGACTAGGCAGCCTCCACCCGAAGCTACAGAAATAAAAACAGCCCATCTTCTCGGGGCCCCAGGCCCCGAAGCCCAGGGCCCTGATGGGCGGGAGATGAGTGCCCCACTCACAGGGACCTGTCCTGCGAAGACACAGGTGCAGCCACGGCTGTCCCCTGCCACTGTGTCTGCACCACACTCCACCAACCACAGCTGTCCCCTGCCACGGCATGTGCACAGCACTACCCCAACCACTGCTGTCTCCTGCCACGGCGCCTGCACCACACTCCACCAACCACAGCTGTCCCCTGCCATGGTGCCTGCACCACACTCCACCAACCACAGCTGTCCCCTGCCACGGCACCTGCACCACACTCCACCAGGCCCAGAGTGGCCCTGACCCAGGACTGCGTGATAAAGCAGAGGAAGAAGTGTCCCTGTCTCCATTTTGCAAATGAGAAAACCATGTCCAAGAGGCTCTGCCCAACATGGAACCCAGGCACGTGTTTCCAATTCAAACACGCACAAAACACTTTGACCCCCTCTCGTACCTGTCATTCCTTCTTTCCCTTCAGCTTCTTCAAAGATGATGCCAAGTTCAAGGTCACGACAACTCCCCGTGACGGAGCCTCTGCTTCTTTCCCCACGTGGGTCCACGTGAGGCTCTGCCCCACCAATGCCCGGTGCCTTCTAGAACTCAGTAGCTCAGCTGTCCACTGCCACTCATGAAGCTGATCTGAGCCCCTCAGTGGGAAGGGCAGAGTCAGTCTGGTGAAGGCCCTCCCGCCTCACAGGGCGGTCCTGAGGCTTCCCCTCCTGGCAGTGGTTGGGCTGACCCCTCCTGCCTTCCCCTCCCTGGAGGGCCCCGAGGTCATCACCTCCCATCTCCACCCACCCTATCCAACCCTGGGGTGGCAGGTCATGAGTGACAGCCCCAAGGACACCAAGGGATGAAGCTTCTCCTGTGCTGAGATCCTTCTCGGACTTTCTGAGAGGCCACGCAGAACAGGAGGCCCCATCTCCCGTTCTTACTCAGAAGCTGTCAGCAGGGCTGGGCTCAAGATGAACCCGTGGCCGGCCCCACTCCCCAGCTCTTGCTTCAGGGCCTCACGTTTCGCCCCCTGAGGCCTGGGGGCTCCGTCCTCACGGCTGGAGGGGCTCTCAGAACATCTGGTGGGCTCCGTCCTCACGGCTGGAGGGGCTCTCAGAACATCTGGTGGGCTCCGTCCTCACGGCTGGAGGGGCTCTCAGAACATCTGGTGGGCTCCGTCCTCACGGCTGGAGGGGCTCTCAGAACATCTGGTGCACGGCTCCCAACTCTCTTCCGGCCAAGGATCCCGTGTTCCTGAAATGTCTTTCTACCAAACACAGTTGCTGTGTAACCACTCATTTCATTTTCCTAATTTGTGTTGATCCAGGACACGGGAGGAGACCTGGGCAGCGGCGGACTCATTGCAGGTCGCTCTGCGGTGAGGACGCCACAGGCACCAGCGTGCTTCTCCTCAGGACATGCACTTGTAACAACATGTCTGGCCCTTTTTTACCCCCTTGTGTTGGTTTCCTACAACTATGTAGCAAGGTACCAAGACTGGGTGGCCTGAAACAGCAGAAATGTGTCGTTTCTCAGTTCTGGGGGCCAGAAGTCTGAGCCACAGGTGTGGGAATGTTAGGGGTGGCAAATATCCGAGTTACTGGCAAGTCGGCAAAAACCTCAATTCTTGCCTCCTCAGAAGAAAGGATTCAACAGAGGGGCATACGGCAGAAAAAGAGACCAAGGCAAATTTCAGAGCAGCGGTGGAAGTTTATTAAAAAGCTCTGGAGCAGGAAACAAAGGGAAGAACAACTGGAAGAGACCCAAGCGGACCCCTGGAAGGACGAGTGCAGCCTTTGACCTTTGGATTTGGGGCTGGAAACATTGGCATCCTTCCGGGGTCCCGTTCCTCTTCCGTGCTTTTTCCCTCAGGGTGGGCCGCCTGCACACGCGGTGCCCTCCTCAGCCCCGGGAGGCCAACACCGAGCCCTGAGTTTAGGAAGTGGTGGGTGTCCCTCCCTGAGACTTTCTTCCCTTTTCCAGTGGAGTGCCCTCAAAGGCCGTACTCCTCCGTTTTGTCTCTTAATGCCCATCCCCGAGCCTACTCGCCCCATTTCTGAGACTTTGTTGGAAGCCGATTACACATCTCGAGACTTTTTATCTGTTTGGGGAATCACCTCTCCCTGGAGCCTGTGATCAATGATTGTTTTTAGATAGGCGGTGGGATAACTGCTGAACTCTCACCCGATGATCCCCTGACATTCCTGGTGGGTGGCAGGGGAGCCCTCTGCTGCCCGGCTGGTGCCTGATTAACCACCTGCAACAGGCAGGGCCCTGAGGGAGAATCCCTCCACATCTCTCTGATCATCCAGGGCAGCCAGGACCCCTCCGTGCAGTCTCTGCCTCCGTCTTCACATGACCGCGGTCTCTGGGTCTCTGTGTTTGTGTCCCCTTCTCTTAGGACAACAGTCAGTGGATTTCCGGCCCACCCTAAATCCAGCTGATCTCCCCTCGAGATCCTTAATTACATCTGCAAAGACCCTATTTCTAAATAAGGGCCCATTCACATGACTGGGTGTTAGAGCCTGGACATACCCTTTTGGAGACCCCCTTCAACCCACGGCCCCCTCACCAGTGAACGGTAAGTTCTGCATGGACAGAGACCATTTCTGTCCTGTTCATATCACATCATCAGAGCCTTCGCAACAGTTATCCAAACACATTTACTGAATGAATGTGTACATTTAACTCAAAATACTGAAGTTTGACCTTTTTCTCCTCTGTAGTTTAAGATAAATTTCCACTCTACTTTCTAAAATACAGTAGATGACTATTTCTCTGGGAATCTAAGTATCAGAAGCATAAAAATAACAAAGTGGCTTTTAAAGGGACTCAAAATGAGACCCACCATGATATTCATGCCAACATCACAAATGACAGCAACATATCCTCAACTTTTGCTTATTTCTTCCCAAACATTTTATCCTAAATTGTGTATCATACTAATTTTTCCAAATACATTGTTGGTTTATTTTCAGTCACTGGGATTGTTTGCATTTGGACATCAAATTTGGACCTGGCAGGGTGGCTTAGGTCCATAATCCCAGCATTTTGGGAGGCCAAAGCAGGAGGATCCCTTGAGCCTAGAAGTTTAAGACCAGCAAAGGAAACATAGCAAGACTCTATCTCTACAAAAAAAAAAAAAAAAAAAAGAAACAAGGCCGGGCGCGGTGGTTCACACCTGTAATCCAAGCACTTTGGGAGGCTGAGGCGGGTGGATCACCTGAGGTCAGGAGTTCAAGACCAGCCTGGCCAACATGGCAAAACCCCATCTCTACTAAAAATACAAAAATGAACCGGCCTGTAATCCCAGCTGCACAGGAGGCTGAGGTACAAGAATCACTTGAATCCGGGAGGAGGAGGTTGCAGTGAGCCAAGACTGTGCCACTGCTCTCTAGCCTGAGTGACAGAATGAGACTCCATCTCAAAAACAAAAAAAAAGAAAGAAAAAAAGAAACAACTAGCTGGGCTTGGTGGTGTGCACCTGCAGTCCTGTGTACGCAAGAGCCCTAGGTGGGAGGATTGCTTGAGCCCAGGAGTTTGAGGCTGCAGAGAGCTAGGAATGTGCCACTGCACTCCAGCATGGGCAACAGAGAGAGACCGTGTCTCAAAAAAACAAAAACAAAAGCAAAAACCTATTGTTTATTTGGAATGCATCAGGTCCTAAATGCTCCAGGCAAAAAGTACCTGTGTTGAAATCTGCTGGTGACCCCTTTTCACATTCCAACCCTCCATCCAACGGTCCCCTCTGACCTCACTCCCTTCTGTTGTCTTCCTGTCCAGACCAAACTGGGCCCTTAGCACAATCAATCAGGCCACAGGAAAGGTCTTGAAGGAACGAGGGTGGGATGCACATGGTGCTAGGCTGAGCGGAGAAGGGGTGGACACTGAGAAAGAAATGTCAAAATTACACAACTGCAGCCTCATGAAACACAATTGAAATGATTTTATACTGATGGAGGATTTTCAAAAAGTTCTCCTACACATTTAAAACTCTCAGAAAAGACGAAAACTCCAGTTCTAGGTGGCTTTTAGAGGCATTCCGAATTTCTCAAAGTCAATGTGGATGTTCTAGTAGAACATCCAGTTCATCTAGAACAATCCAATTCTACCAGAGTTTACCTGTCATAAAATCTGAAATAAGTATTTCATCTATAAAATAAGAATATTTTAGCATTGTCCTAAGGATTAAATGAGATCATGTATGTGAGGGAGGAATAGAAACTGTAAAGCTCTGTAGTTATGGAAAACTCGAAAACAAATTATTTTTCATGTCATTTACGGATTTTGAAAACCATACCCCATACCCCTCTACTGCTTAAATATTTTTTACTGATTGATGAATAATATAAATAGCGGTGGACTGGTACATGGTTAACAACCAGCTTTCCAAGGGAAAAAGGACCTGATTTGTAGCATTTGCCAATTGCTGTGGTGTAAATACTACCACCAGGGCCAGTTTCAAGTTGCCAACGTGATACAGCTGATTCATTGTATTTCATGCAGCTGTATCCCTGCAGCAGTGAAGAGCTCACAAAGTCAGTCTCATGAGTCAGGAGCTGGCTCTGGCTCATCGTGGATATAAATGATGCACCTATGTTATTCATCATCTGTTTTTCTTCTTTTGTAAAAACAGGTATGTGCTTGTTGAAGCAAAATTAGAAAACATATAAAAACAAAAAAATGTTCATAATTCCACATCCTGCAAATATCTCTTTTTTATCTTTTGGTGAATAGTGTTTTACTGTCTTATGCACACCTCCACGTTCATATACTGTAGCAAAAATACAATAGTAGGATACACATTGTTCTAGAAGCAAACAAAAATGTATGAAGACATTTATATGTTTATGAAGACCTTTAAATATTTATATAGAAACAAAATGTCATTGCAACCTAACATCATCCATTAAAAATAAAAGGAAAGGAAAACGGCAGGGAAAAGTGCAGTAATAACAAATGGTGACATGCTTGGTCTTAAGCATCATAGCAAACTCATTATTTCCAATGAAACAAGGATTTTTAGACCCATCTTTGGAAATGATTCCCAAATTAGAGAACCATCAGGTCTCAAAAAAGGAAGGGTCATCAAAGTCCATCCAGCCCAGCCACCCTGAGGTGCCTGTATCTCCTCAACAAGCTCCCTCCCAAATGTTTCCCTAAGGTCTGAGGAGCACCTGCAGCCTCCATCCCCCAAGGTGACATCCCTCCCTGGGCAGCTCTGCAATCTAGGCTCACTGTCTCTGTGCTGAGCTGCAGTCCAGCACAGCAGCTCCCGCCTTCATCCCCGACTTAGCCCAGGGCCATGGTTCCTAGCAGGTCCCCCCATCTTTTCAGCACCCAGCGTGTGGTCTTCTCGGCGGCAGCTGAGCACACTCCTTCTGTCCACCATTCCCGACACATGGGTCTTCCTGGTCCTTCCTCTCGGAACCGGTTCCAGGTTAGAAGTGAGGTGCCTAGAAATGAAACAGCTGGTCCTCTCTGTGTTTTCCATCCATCCTGCAAAATCGACTCCTTGCTGCTGGGATGACAAGATGAAGTCCAAGCTCACGTCCTGGTGGGGTGGGAAGCGTGGGTGGATGGAAAAAAAGGCAAAAATGCCTAACTGTGATGGATGCTCTGCAGAGCTAAGAGGGGTCTCGTAGTAAAGGGGGACAGGCTGATAGCTTTTATTAGAGATCGAGTCAGCGTCTCTGAGGGATGACGTTTATGCTGCGAACTCGGTGACAAGACGGAGCCAGGCAGAAAGTCCAGCTCAAGCTGCATCCCCGAGGCAGCAGCAGACCACCTGCCCACTCCTTCTGCCTGCCCACTGCTTCCTCATGCCCCACCTTCTGCAGCTTTTAGTCCCAGGCCGCCTGGCAGACTTCTCTGCAGATCTCAGGCTTCTCCCAAACAGGCCAACCCCAGAAGGGTGTCTGCCCCTGGACAACCATGCCAGGAAGGAGGCACATTGGGCTATTGAGATAACTCTAAAGGCAGAACTTTCAGAATTGAACATCAGTGACACTGAGAAACGAGGATCAGGAGGCCCTGTGAGCAGTCCAGCCCCTCCCCACAGGCATCCTCTCCAAGGCACCAGTCCACTTGCTTCCCAGCAGAAACATCCCAGGTCCAAAGGCAGGCAGAGAGCCGGCCTGGGAAGGGGCTACTCTGCACCCCAAAGTCTCCAGGAAGCCCCAAACTCACCCTGAGCCTGCAACACCCAATTATCCAAATGGTCTTCAAAGCCTCAGATGCTTTACAACCCAGTCCAGCAGCCTCTGACCCTCAATAGTATCAGCCCCAAATCCTGTGTGCTCAGAGCCTCCCAAGGCTTCCAGTCCAGCACCCTCCCCGACCTCGGCCACAGCTGTCACTTGTGCCCATGGAGCGCTAGGGCCCGGCACTGTGCCTGCAGATCACTGGGCTCCGTGTGTTTTGCTGCGGGAAGAAAGGGAAGGAGGGAGAGGAGGGAGGGAGAGGGTAGCTGGGGCAGGGAGACTGAAGGAAGAAGGGCATTAGCAGCTGTCACTCCTGGAGCGCTGGCCTCTCTGGAACGGGGTGCTCTCTGTCTGCATACTGGGGGCAGCGTCTTTCCTCTTCCTCTTCTCCTCTTCACAATGTCTGACAGTCCACACATCCAAGAGGGAAGGAGAGGGTTTCCAAGATACCTCAGACTCTGTGTGGATTCAGATTCTGCCTTGAAGCTGGTGGAGCTGGAGATTAGGAAGGGCCTGGGCCTGCAGGCGGAGGAGAGGCAGCTGTCCCTGCTGACTCCCCTCTCCCTGACCCTCCCCTCCTGGTCAGCACCTTCCTGGCTTGAGAGGAGTCCAGGACTTTCCTTTTCTCCAAATTCTGGAGACAGGCAGGCCCCAGGGTTAGAAGCAGCACCTTCTACCCTGTTCCGATCACAGCCTGAGTCTTGGACAAGGGCTCCTCCGGCTCTCAGTGGCTCCAGGATTCTGAGAACTCTGACATGCTTCCACCATCTGACAGGCAAGAGGCCAGATGGGCCTGGTTGGCCCACCCTCCCGATGGTACCAGCAGTAACTCTGACCCGGCAGGGTGTGGACACGGCTCAGCCTGGTGGGGCTGGAGTCTCTCCCGTCCCCTGCTCACTCCCCTCCCACCTCGTCCAGAACTGCTCAAGGCCCCGGGGTTACTAAGTCAGGCCCTGTCCCTCCAACGCCTTCCTCTCTGCTTCCCCTCCCCACGTCCCTTCCTTTCTCTGCTGACTGCCTCCACCTTCCCTCCTGTCCTAATCAGCTCAGGCTTAGGTGGCCGAATCTGCCTCCTACAGGGCCCATCTCCCTTGCCCTCCTTCATACCACACATCACTGCCAGCATAAGCTTCCTAAAGCACAATTTGGCCGCACGTCCCCACAGGTTAAAAACCTTCCGTGAGTCTCCATCTGATCTTCTGGGGAAGAAATAGCACTAATCTTGGTGACATTATGCAAAACACTTCTGCGGCCCCACAGACGCTGTTCTTAGCACTTTCTCCACATCCCCCACCCCCCACCCTCCTCACAACCACGTTGAGGCGGGTCTCACTGTTACCCCCAGCTACAGTTGAGGAGACTGAGGCAGAGAGAGCCACTGACTTGCCCAAGGCCATATCACCAGGCTTCACTGGGACTTGAAAAGGATCCAGACTCCTTCAGCAAACCATCAGGCTGTCTGCGACGGCATTCGGACCTCTCCCTTACCTCCCAGGCAGCGCGGGCTCCCCAAAAGACACTGACGCTCCCACTTCCAAACCGTCACTCATGCAGTTTCCTCACCAAGAACGCCCCACCCCTGTTGAAATCTGCCCCCGCCTCAGTGCCACTTCCTGGAAGTCTGTCCCCTTCTCTGAGCACCTCCTCGAATGGGAATCCACTGACGAGGGACCTGACCCACTGTCTTTGCATGGCCATTTATGTTACATCTCCTGGGCCCAGAGGCCGGCGCAGCGTCTCCCTCCAAGTCCCTGCAGACTCACAGTAAGGAGAAGCACCCAAGGAAACACTTGTAGAATAGTGAGTGAGTGAATGAAAGTCACCAACACCTCCTCCATGAAGCCACGACCACAAGGCTCCCGGTGCAGGAAAATACTGTTCATCAAAAGCACTGAGATTTGTTTTTGTTTGTTTTGTTTTTGTTTTTGTTTGAGACGGAGTCTTGCTCTGCCGCCCAGGCTGGAGTACAGTGGTGCGATCTCGGCTCACTGCAAGCTCCGCCTCCCAGGTTTAAGCAATTCAACTGCCTCAGCCTCCTGAGTCGTTTGGATTATAGGTGCCTGCCACCACGCCTTAATTTTTGTATTTTTAGTGAAGATGGGGTTTCACCATGTTGGCCAGGTTAGTCTCGAACTCCTGGCCTCAAGTGATCCACCTACCTCGGGTTTCCAAAGTGCTGGGATTCCAGTTGTGAGTCACCGTGCCCGGTCCAAAACACTGAGATTTGACTTCTTCCTAGGCCAAAGGTCATCTGGGCAGCAAGGCAGGAGCTCCCGGATCAGGAAAGTGCAGGCACACCATGTCTCTGAGTGGTGGGGTGGGGACAGAGGCTGGCAGGCCACCAACAGGGCAGCATCTGCTCCCAACCAAGGTGACTCAGACCTCGCCTTGTCCAACCTGCAGGCCTCCCAACAGTGGGGCTCTATAAGGCTGGCGTTCGCCTCCAGGGTTCTCCCCGACACTGGATGCCAACCTGCCCAGGGGCAGAAGGGAGGTTGGGCGTGGGGAGTGCCGGGTACAGTCAGAGTTGCCAGGACAGTTTGGAGCAGTGCCTCTTAATCTTGGCCGCACAGCACCTGGGAGCTTTAAATAGACCCCCACGCCTGGGCGCCCCCACCGCTGACCCACCAGGGCTCAGTGCAGGGGGATGGCTCACACGGCACATTCTCCAGAAGCTCCTGGGGTAGCTTCCAGGTGCAGCCGGGGTTGGGAATCGCTGGCTTATGCAACCCAGCAGAGAGGCGGGAAAGGCAGAGCTGAGATCGGGTGGGGCCACCTGTGGTGGGGAAAGAGATGAGCTCACACCTGGAGATGGTAAACAGTGCAAAAGCAAGAAGAAGCTTACAGAAGGAGTCGTTGGGCCTTTGCCCCAGCTGCAGCCACGTGAGAGGGAAGCCAGGGGAGGAGCAAGGTGCAGGCATCTGTGGGCTGGGCAGGGCCTGACTGCACTGGGCCCAGGCTGGGAAGGCCTCACCTGCTTCTCCAGCGGGAACGGAGGGCGACCTGCGCAGCCTAGGCACTGCGGCCGTGGTTCACATGCAAAAACTAAAAGCTGGACTCATTTCCAGAGAAACTGAGATAGAATACTCTACCTAAATTGTTTCTGGAACACATGATCACCATACCTGTTGGGAATCTGTTCTTGATGAGTTTTGTTGTTGTTGTTTTTATAAAAGGGGGACCCACTGTGGAGAGAGAAACAATGGCTTGAACTCTTAAAAGCTGGTCTTAGAGGTCTGGAGTCCACATCTTTGACTACCTGGCAGGGTGACATGCCTTTGATTCTCCCTATGTTTGGACCAAGAGGGGATGAGTTGGGATTTTGTGATCATACGAGGACTATTTTCATGGTTCTTGGACAACAAAAAGAGAGAACAAGACAGGAGTCCTCTCTCTGCAGTTGCATTTCTGACTCTTCCTCTTGTTGCAGAGTACAACTCTGTGAAGATTTCCTTTAATCCCATCAGCACTACGGAAGCCATCTCCCCCATGCTGGAGATGAGGCCTCCCGGGCAAAGGAGCCTGCCAGGTCGTGCCATCACAGTGCATGTGGAGGGTTTCATGCAGAATCCAACACACTTGAGGAGCCTGTCATCTAGTTTAAGCATTGATGGGCTTTATTTCACTATTCAGGGTTCTGAGGATGGAGAATAGGCCTTGTCCACTAGGAATGACGTAAGAGGTGCACTCTGGAAGGAACTGTACAAATAGGGAGAGATCACCTTCAGCCATTTGCTTGGAAAAGAGGTGCAGAGGAACCCCCTCTGCGCCAGGCCCGGCTGTGGAAAGCTTCCAAAAGCAGGAGGCATTTGATGTGGAACTTAACAGAAGGATTGGGTCACCAGGCCTACCAGGATGGATATAAACTAGGATTTAAAAGATCCAGGGGGCAATCCAATGAAGAAAATGTATTATTTCGTATATGAAATTTGAAACATGTATTTGGATCAGAAGTAGAGTAATTCAATCTACCGACAAATCAATCTACTGAAGAACCTCTTGGAAGATTTGGGGGAAGTTTTGCTTTACTTGAAATTAGTTTTGGTTTCCCCAATGCTGTCCCACCCAAGTCAACTCCAGTAGCTTCATGAGTGCAGTTCTCCCCTGCTGAATGTCAGTTTCATGTGTGATTCATATTTCAGACTCCAAGCACTTACCAAATACTTAAACCACTTGCAAAATATCCATTTGATTGAGCCAGTGAATAAATCAGTGAATTGAAAGAAGTACTAAAGCAATAGATTTAAGTTGAAATTCTATTAGGGGAAAGAAAGCTGCCAATCTCTAAAATCCTGGACGTTGAAGACGTGTCCAATGGCTGAATCTTGAAATGAACCAGAAGCTCTCTTTCTCCAAAACCATTGAACCAAAATGCTAAAAATGAAACAACAAAACAAAAACAGACAACTTTAAACACTGTCAGGTTATGGTACAATGGTTAGGTGAACTGACTGCCGCTAAAATAATTTACTAAAAGTAGAACTGAACAAAACTAAAAATTTAAACTCAGTAAATAAAACGTCAAAGAAATAGTCAACAACTTAGAATAGCTCATCCAATATGAATTTCTGTGATCTTTATTAAGTATCCTTTAAAAAAAACTTTTTAGTAAGTTGGGAAATACCAGCACGTTTACCATTTGCAGAACTAAGCTTCTGGCAAGTCAATTTTCAGAGAAGCAGCTTTCAAAGAACTGGGTTTTCCTAAGTGACCTGAAGCTGCGCCAGCTGCTCGGATGCTTCCTGGGCTCTGTCTACTCTCTTTGGTGTTCTGAGCTGAGACCGGGCACCCTTGTGGACCCAGACGTGGAGCATAGCCTGGTCTCTGCCCTTGAGGGTCTTCAAGGCCATTCAGAGTCGGCAGAGAGGCCATGTCTGTGCATCTCTCGTAACTCACAGTCACCAGCTTCCGGAAGACATTCCACTATGTGGGTCCCAACCAACCCCACCACCAGACCCCCACCTCAAAACCAGTCCCTGGGCAGAGTATGCCCAGGAAGCACCCCTTGAAGGCAGTCCCCTGACCCCCTTCTGAGCCCTTGAATTCCACTCCAGGTCCTTCTTAGCACCTCGCTCTAAGACCTGAAGTGAGCCACTTCCTCTCCAGTCCCTCAAGTTCCCTTCTTCGTCTCTTGGGACAGTAGATTCAGAGAATCTGCTGCTTTCTTATTGCTTTGTGGCCCCATCAAAGCCCTTCTTAAGAATGGGCTCAACAACAATGAACAACTGGCTTAGAACACCCTGTCTCTGTTATTCTGTCTGCCCCAGACAGGTCTTCTGCCTCCCTAGGCTGTCTGAGTGGCTTCACTTCTCTCCTTCCTTAATGCTTCTCTGATTGCCCATTCCCCAGACCTCCAAATCAGCACAGAGCTTCCTGCCACAGCCCTCTTTGTAGGGGGCTCACCCCTGCCCCCCTCCCTGGGTCCAACTGCCAAGGCCACAGCCCTGGCATGGGCACCCAGACTCCCTGATGCCAAGTCGGCCACAAGCCTGGAGCAGGCCTTGGCTCTGGGATTCCAGACTGTATTCCCATGACATGATGGATGTTCTGAGAGGGACAGAATCGCCGAACTCAGGCCGGGGATCCTGTCTCTCCTTCACTGTTCTTCACTTAGACCCTCATACCCGGGGCAGTGTGTGTGGCTGGGGACTCATGAGTCACACCTGCTGTGAGCACTGAGCACCTGCTACGTGGCAGGGGCTGCACTGGGCCACGTGTGGACTCCACAGGCAAAGGCCACCTTGGGACATGCTCACAGCAGCACGCTCCAGAAGCCTGGGCTCTTCAGTGGGCTCTGAGTGCTTTCTAGTACCTTCCACAGGCAGTGTACCCAGTGCTAGTGTCACAGCACCCAGTAGCCCAGGTATTATTATTGATCTCATTTTCCAGGTAAGAAAACCGAGACTCAGAGAAGTCAAGGTATTTGCTCAAGGCCACATGGACAGCGGATCTGGGATTTAATTCCTTCTCCATCTCATTCTGGAGGCTCCAGGGGTGACACAACCATTGAATGGAATATGATCAGCCACTAAAAGCAATGGCGTGGGTCTCCATTATTTTCACAAGGAAAGGTGTCCACAATACAGCATTAGATAGAGAATGGTTACAGAGTCATCTGCATGATGCCATTTCTGGGAAGGAAAAGTATGTAGAAATAGAAGTATGTGAGTGGATAGAAAAGGAAAAAAAAAAAAAGGCAGGGTATGTTCCAAAATATTTACACATGGTCTTTGCTTAGAAAATTGTTTCCATTTTATCCTGCTGTCTATGCTTGTGTAGGTGAGCATTGGACTGACAATTCTGAAGTGCCTTCCTGATGACCAGTGTGACCTTTTCCTTCCCAAGAACTATGTTTCTCTTGCTCCTCGCCTCCCCACCTTACACAAGGCACAGCTGAGCCCAGACAGGGGAGGCAGCTGACCTAAAACCACCCAGCAGAGCACGTCCCAAGCTTCAGGCCTGGAGCCCAGGAGTCTTGACTCCACACTCACGGGGGCCTGGGGCCTGACCAGACCAGTGAGGCCTCTGACCCTTCACTGCCTGAGAGAATGTGCCCCAGCCTGTGAGCAGCTGCCCCCGGGCCCTCCTTCAATACCAGTCCTAGGTAGAAAGGCTGATGGTGGCCCAGGAGGAGGGTCTGGGCTTGGCCTGGCCACTGCAGGAGACTCCAGGGTTCACCTTTCCCCTTTGCTCCCACCACCTGGAATCCCTGCTGCCTGAAGCACCCCCACTATGGCATCCCTCTAAGCAAGACCAGAGCCCATCATTCTTTAGAAGCTGTTCTGGTGGGCTCGACCAAGAAGTCAAGGACCCCCTGACAAGGAAGCTTCAGCGCAAGCCAGCGGCTCTTGGTGTGTGTGTGGAGTGGGTGTGAGTGAGTGTCTCTTCCTCAGTGCACATGCCTGACTCCCGTCCACTCCATACCCTCCTGATATGGCCTGGGGAGGGACTGGCCGACAGATACTCCCCAGGCCTGACCCTCTCCTGTCCCCCTGTGCCTGCCCAAACTGTGCGCTGATATTGGTGCTGCCTCCATGCAGAGCCGGGAAGGATCAGACCCATGGCTGGGTCAGGGATCCTGCCCAAGAAGAGGGAGAGGTGGGGGTTGGCTGATTTGCAGGATTTGGTTCCATGGAGAGCTGGAGAAATGGATTCCAGGAAACCAGGAAGGCAGGGAGAGCAGACACCTGAGGTGGGAGAGAGGGTTCTGGGCAGCCAGAGCCCAGGGCGGGGGTGTGGAATGTCGGCACATCCCTGGAAGCTAAGCAGGAATGTGGTGGGAGACATACACCCATGGGTGCTTCCAAGAGGCACAGCGAATTCCTGCTGTCAGGCAGAATTCCCAGAAACAGCAGGTGAGTGGTCTCTACTCACCTTAGAAACGCCCACCGCACAGGAGACTGGCGAAGCTCCCTCTTGAACTTTCTCCCTGCTCGATGACCTCTCATCTTCAGGAGACTGGCGAAGCTCCCTCTAGAACTTTCTCCCTGCTTGACGACCTCCCTCCTGCCCCCTCCTCTCATCTTCAGACTTCTTGTCTTTGCTAAGACTCCAGGGGAGTCCAGGGAGGCCAAGGGGGTCCCTCCTCCAGCAAACATTCACTGAGGGAGGAGTGGCCCTGTTTATTCAAAGCAAATCATACGTTCTGTGTGCAGCAGCCTACACCCTGGAGGTACAGGAATTAGGAACTGCCCTGCAGGCCCTGAGGGGCTCCAGGCTGGGTCTGAAGGAGAAGAAAAATTGAGAAACTGCTGTTTACCTAGAGAAAGGTAAATATTGTCAGTGAGGAATGTGCAAACGGCCCAGGGTTAGAGGATGACCTTCCCTGCAGAAAAGGCCCCAGGGATTGCACAGGATGCCAGGCTGATCCTTCTTTAGTCTCCTGGGCCCTCCTTCAATGCCAGGCTGATCCTTCTTCAGTTCCCCGGGCCCTCCTTCAATACCAGGCTGATCCTCCTTTAGTCTCCTGGGCCCTCCTTCAGTACCAGGCTGATCCTTATTCAGTTCCCCAGGCCCTCCTTCAATCCTTCTTTAGTCTCCTGGGCCCTCCTTCAATACCAGGCTGATCCTTCTTCAGTCTGGCATCCTGGGCAATTCCTGGGACTTTTCTGCAGGGAAGGTTGCCCTTTCCTCTACAACCCTCCTCCTTGCCCCATTAAAAGATCCCCCAATAAAAGTCAATCAGATGGCTCGCCCTGCCTGTAATCCCAGCACTTTGGGAGGCAGGTCACCTGAGGTCAGGAGTTCAAGACCAGCCTGTCCAACACGGAGAAAGCCCGTCTTTACTAAAATGCAAAAATAAGCCAGCATGGTGCACGCCTGTAATCCCAGCTACTTGGGAGGCTGAGGCAGGAGAATCGCTTGAACCCAGGAGGCTGAGGTTGAAGTGAGCTGAGATCGCACAGCTGTATTCCAGCCTTGGGTGACAGAGCCAGACTCCGTCTCAAAAAAAAAAAAATAGTCAGACCAAGGCTTTTGGGGCCCTGACTCCCATTTCCCTCGAAGTGTGTGAGTTTCTGGACAGGTTTTTAGCCACCGGGCACCATTCCCTCATCCTCATCTGGGTCGATCAGCTCAGCCCTGGTGCCCTCCACTGTCCCGGTTCTAACATTGCAAGCCCAGCATTCCAAGACCCCTTACACCCCAGCCAGTCAGGATGGTGCCCACCCCATTGCCTGAGCTCTTAGCCCACGGGGGAGCTCCCCTATTGCCTGCAGAAAAAGGAACAGAAGTGTGGTCCACACCACAGGTCTGCAGGCCTGGTCTCCTGGCTACTCCCCCAGCAGCAAATCAGCCTGAGCTGCTTTCTCTCACCTACTCCCTTACACGTGGAGCTGATTCCGTTTCTAAGTGAGTGGATAGAGAGGGGGATGGAAGAGCTAGCGGATGCCTCCATAGCCTGCAGAGACGGCAACAGGACCGTGTTTCTGAGGGTGGGCCAGGGCCTTCCTTCCTGGGACCCAGGAACTTCCATTTCAGTGCATTTTCTTCTCAAAGGTTGGACCTTGGTCCACGGTTGCAAGGAGAGCCCAGATCTAACCATCATCACAAATCTGGATGTATATGCTGACCCTAGAGTTGGTAACGCTACTGTAGAAAATGTCTTCTTTGGCCAGGTGTGGTGGCTCATGCCTGTAATTCTGGCACTTTGGGAGGCCGAGGCGAGTGGATCACCTGAGGTCAGGAGTTCGAGACCAGCCTATCCAACATGGCGAAACCCTGTCTCTACTAAAAAATACAAGAAAAATTGCTGGGCATGGTGGCGCACGCCTATAATCCCAGCTACTCGGGAGGCTGAGGCAGGAGAATCACTTGAACCTGGGAGACAGAGGTTGCAGTGAGCTGAGATCACACCACGGCACTCCAGCCTGGGTGACAGAGCGAGATTCCATCTCGAAAAAAAAAGAAAAAAAAATGCCTTGTTTATTTTTTTCTTTTTGGTTTTGGTTTTTCTTCAGCCCTTCCAGATTCTGTCCCAACCCCCAACTATAGAAATGGAGACAGTCAGGTGCCATGCTAGCTCCATGGAAAACTCAAGCCCTTTCCTCCTGAGTCAGTCAACAGACTGTGGAGTCAGGGCCAGTGGGGCAGGGCCTTCCCACAGGGGAAAATCCAGCAAAGCTTCATGCAGGAGGGTCGAGTTTCCCCGTGTGCTCCTCTGTGATTTCTAACCTTCCATGATGCGCCCATATTATTTTTAGTATGAAACATTTCAGACACATAAAAATATAGAGACTAACATAGAGGACACCCACATAACCATCAACATCATCAGCTAAAGAAATGAAACCTTCAGAACCAGCTGAGGCCCCTCTGATGCCTTCCCCAAACCCCTCCCGCCTGCTCCAGAGCAAGCGTCAGTCCTGAATTAGAAGTTTATTTTCCCCATGTATGAGCAGCATGTGTCTTCAAAATCAGGTATTTTTTAAAAGAAAAGAAAATCGATTTTGCCCTCTACAGATTTAAGCTGCTGTTCTCAGACTTTGGGACCCTCCCGGACCAGGAGCATTTCCAAAGAAATTTGTGTAATGGTGAGACTCTCCATTGTGCAGAGTAAGAACACGAAGGAAAAGAAACACCAAAAAAAAAAAAAAACTCCTGTGATTCCAGTAGCTTCCTAAGAGAAAGGAATTCAGTGGTGAAAATGCACCATATCCTCAGAATTTAAAAAGTGAACGCAAAGCCTTTATTTTTCTTTTGTTATTTTATTTTATTTTCCTACACAGACCCTGGAAAACCTCTTCTTGACCAGCTCAGCACTGAGGACTCATCACTTCAGAAATCAGACCTCTGTGATCCGCGTGCCTAAGAGGATGGGGCTTTCCTGGAGGACCTCCGGGCAGAGCCAGGATGGGCATAGACTTTGCCGCAGGCCTCCTGCTCAGTCAGGTGAGCAGGCAGGTCTCAGGCTGCCTCTGCTCTGTTACCCTCTCACCTCCTTATCTTCTCTCTTCCACCCGCTCTGCAGCCCTTCCTGTTCAGAGCCCTGAGGGAGGAGGCTGGGGTGTCCACCTCTCCTCTCCCTAGCCCCAGGTGCTCCCTGCCCACAGCCCAGGCAGAGGAGGGAAGGTCTGACCCCAGCCCTGAGGCTGGAAGGGCCTGGAGGGCACTGGCCAGGCTCTGAGCACCGGGCAAGAAGGAACAGGTCGCAATGAGTGACCGCAAGAGATCATGGTGACTCCTGAAAACGCCCAGGCCCCGCCTCAGTGCCCCGGGCTACCCCTGGCCCCCCAGGCTTTGTGCTGAAGCCGAGATAAAGTGGACAGGCGCACCTCACTCCTCCACAGGTGTGCCCCACCCCCCCACCCGCAGGTCTGCCCGAGAGCACGGCAGGTGGGAAAGAGACGAATCCTGACTCCAAGGCCAGGGCCGCCACCTCCCCAAAGCCCGATTTCACCCAATGCTACCATAAGTTGGCCTGGGCTGCTCCTGTACCCACCTGGGGCTTCAGTTTCCACATCTGCCAAGCAAGGTGCCTGGGTCCGACCATCTGAGACCCAGGACAAAGGGAGCCCTGGGAACGCCAGGCTGTGATGAGCGAGCCTGGGTCTCGTTTCTAAACCTCACGGCACCAACACAACCCAAGTCCATACAGGGCTGTGCCCTGTCAGGGTGGAGGGCCCTGCCTGCTCAGCCCCGTCCTTCTCCCCCTTGCTCTGCCCTTTCCCCACCTCCCCCAACCCTAACCACACAGACGCACACACACACACACACAGAGACACACACAGACACAGACGCACAGATGCACACACAGACACACACAGACTCACGGACACATAGACACAAAGACACACACACACAGACACAGAGACACATACATGCACACACAGACACACACAGACTCACGGATACAGACAGACACACACACATAGACAGTGACACACACACAGACACACACAAAGACACACAGACACACAGACACATACAGACACACATGGACACAGACATTCACGCAGACCCACAGATAGACACAGACAGACACACAGATACACAGACACAGACACAGACAGACACACACACACATAGACACACAGACACACGGATAGATAGACACACAGACAAAGACATACCTAGACACACACACACAGACACAGATATACAGACACACAGATACACACAGATACATACACAGGCACATACACGAACACACAGACATACCTAGACACACAGATACACACACAGAGCCACACACAGACACACATATACACATACACAGACACAGACACATATGCACAGACATAAACACATATACAGACACAGACACACACAACACACAGACACACAGACACACAGATAGGCACACAGACACACACAAACACATACACAGACACACACAGACACACACAGATAAACACACACAGACACATAGACACAGAGACACACACACACAGATAGGCACACAGACACACACAAACACATACACAGACACACACACAGACACAGACACACACAGATAAACACACACAGACACATAGACACAGAGACACACACACACAGATACACACACAAAGCCACACACAGACACAGACACACAGATAAGACACACACACAAATGGACACACACAGACACATAGACACAGAGACACACTCAGACACACACACAGATACACACATACACATGCAGATGCACACAAGGACACACAGACACACAAACATACAGAGACTTACACACAGATGCACACATACAGAGACACGCATACAGACACACAGACACACACACAGATGCACACACAGACGTACACGTATATTATTTGCAGCCGAAGAGAGGCAGGCTGCGTGCAGAGGCTGGCAGCTGGGCTCCGTCTGTCCATGCGAGGCGCCCGCTCCTGTTTGTGCGGGACACGTGCCCAGGTCCTCACCAGCAGCTCAGGCAGAACCTGGAGCCACAGACACCGCCCAGCACCATCCTCACACATCCTCTGCCCACCTGCCCTCTGCTCCGCGTCAGGGGAGGCAGGAGCTGCCCCTGGGGCCTGCTCCAGGCAGTTCTGCCACCGCAGGTGAGAGGGGTGGGCTGGAAGGAACCCTGGAAGCAGGTGGGGGCCCTCGGAGGCAGCCGCCCCACAAACACCAAGCACACATGGAACTCGGCAGTCCTTTATTTAGATCAATGCGGGGCTGAGGGGCCCTCATTCCACTGCAGGGCAAAGGGGGACCAGGCCCAAGGAGGCCTCCTTCTGCCCAAGGTCTGGAGGCAGAGAGGGGCTCGCAGGCGGCCCGAGGGCGCCGCATCCAGGCCCCGGAGCGCAAAGCCTTCCTCCCAGGGGGAGGCAGTTTCCCATCCACCGACCAGGTTTCCCCGGAGAGTCCCAGCACAAAAGCAGCAGCGGGCGGTGGCCCTGAAGGCTCAGAGCGCAGCCAGGGGGACACAGGCGGGGAGCCTCACTCCTGGGCGAGCATCCTCGCGAACTCCTCGTAGTTCACCCGCCCGTCCTGGTCCACGTCGGCCTCGCGGATCATGGCGTCCAGCTCCTCCTGCGGCAGCGGCTGCCCCAGCCCCGCCATGGCCCGCCTGAGCTCGTCCACGGTGATGTGGCCGTCGCCATCCTGGTCGAAGGCGCGGAAGGCGACCTGCAGGTCCTCCAGGCCGGCCCTGGCCTTCTTCGCCGCCGTCAGGAACTCCTGGAAGCTGATTTCGCCGTCGCCGTCGCTGTCAACCTCGGAGATGAGTTTCCTTAGCTGGGCCTCCGAGAGGTTCTTGCCCGTGGCCTTCAGCGCCGCGCCCAGCTCCTGGGCATTGATGGTGCCGTTTCCATCCGTGTCAACCGCGGAGAAAGCCTTTTTGTACTGGGCCTCCTCCTCAGGAGTCAGCTCACCGGCCATGCCTGCGTCTCCTGCACCTCGCGGAGCCTCCGAGCTGCTGCCCACCGGCCCTCAACCTGCTGCTCTCAGAGCTCGTGGTCCAGAGTGCAGGCAGCCGCAGGGATCCGGGCAGCGTCTGTCCCAGACAGTTCTGCCTTGGCATGGGAACCCCCTCCTTTTCTGCAATCGGAACAAAGGGAGGAGGGAGGCTCCCCACCCTCCAAATGCCCTGGGGTGAGAGCCTCCTCCCAGGGAGGGCCAGATCAGCTGCAGACAGGAAATGCAGGAATGGGAGTTGGGAGAGCTGTCAGGTGCCAGGTGGGAACTGCCATGGGGTCGGGGTATCGGATGGCTAGCCTGCCAACCCCGCCTGGCCTTGATAGCAACCACCTCCCTCCAGGAACATTCTGCCCAAGGGATAGTTTCCCCTGCAGCTGATTCTCGGAGATCCTGACCAAGCCAAGGGGTTCAAGACAGCTTCTGCAACTTCACAAAGACTGAGACTGGAGGGGGAGGTGGCTTGAAGAGGGCTCCCTCAAGGGCACAGCAGGCCCCAGTGTTTGGTGTTTCCGTACCCCTCTCTCCAGTGCTACTGCCTAGCTCTTGCCCTGAGGCTGGGGCTGGTGGAAGGGAAGTGGGTGGTAGTGTTGATTCTGCCAGGGCACAACTGTGGGTATCATGAGATTCCCAGGCCAGGGTCTAGAGACAGAGGATGGGGCTCACTGCCTATAACTTCAAGGAAGCAAGGGACCAGGGCTGCCTTCAGAGCCATAGCTGGTGCTGAGATGGTGTTTATCAAGTGAACATGTGACGTGCAGTTTCAGAGGAGAGGGAAAGACTTTTTGTCTCCCCAGAATACTCCCTTCTAGCTCAGGGATTCCTACAATTCAATTCCATCGCCAAGTCCAAGGTTCCCTGTGCAGACACCCTGGGAGCTCAGTGGCAGGCGTTCCATTCACAGGGCGTCAAACAGTTACAGCTGGAGTTTTGCTGCAGCGAGACACGGGGGACCTCAGTGCCCAGCATACCCCAAAGGTGCAGGCAGAGGTGCAGGAGGATGCAGAACAGGTGGCTGCCATCAAACTTGGCCCTCCTTGTGGTTTTACTAAGCATCAGCCCTAAGCACAGAGACCCATCTGGGAGCCTACTGGGGTCCTCAATCTGATCTGTTCTCTGGAAGGAAACCCCCAGGGCCACTTGCCTTGACCAACTTTTAGAGCAACAGCTAAGCTTTCGGGGGACCATCCCCAAGTCCTTCCACTGATGTGATCTACAGTTGTGAGGGGACATTTGCCTTGGAGTCCCCAAAATGCCTTTCCCAAGCAAGTCCCCTCTGATCTCCATAGATTCCCATTCTTCTCCCCAGCCCCTGCCCGTACACAGGGAACAAACTCCTTTATTCCCCTGGGAAAGTTTATACATTCCACCTCCCTCCTGTTCAGCCCATCAAATAGACCAAGTGCCCTCTCCTTCCCTAAAGTGCAGCCAGACAAACACCTCCCAGCCCCTTGGTGCTGCACACATTCTCCAAGGGAAGCCGGAGGCTGGGGTGCCCAACCACGCACTCCATGACCCACAGCTCAGTCCCCCAGGACCACACAAGGGGCAAACCAGGCAGAGCAGTGAGAGGAGGGAAGATGCCCCAGCCAGCCCTAGTGTGGCAGCTGCTCCCTGAGCTGCATGTGAGGGGCCAGAGGGAGGTGCAAAGGGCTCGGAAGCACCACAGCAGAGGGAGAGGCTGAGGTCTGCAGAGAGGGAGCTCCGTGGACCAGGTACAAAAGGGAAGGTCATGGTCAGCAGGGAGAGGGAAGGAAGGGGGTCACCCCACCGGAGTTCAGGGGGACCCAGCATAGACAGAGAGATGCAGAGAGCAGTGTCCCAGTTGTCTAACTCATTTTATAAAGATAGCTTGAAGATTTTCTAGCTCACCTCAGTGGTGGAATAATACAGAGGCCTCAATAAATATTGAGCAACCAATTTCTCAATGAAATTGACAACCGGTTTGGGGTGGAGAACGTGGTTCTGGCCAGGAGATGAGAACAGAGAAGCATCCTGCCTGGTGAGGGGCCCAGGGAGGGCGGGACTCTGAATAGCTGGATTCAGCCCAGCTCCTTGTTTTATTTCCTTAAAGAATACCTGAAGATTTAAATCTATAGTTGAAATTTCCTTTCCTTCTGATCTTGTTGATGGGACCTGTGATTAAAATCCAAAGGCTTAATAATTATTTCATGTCATTTTCCCCAGGTATTAAATACTACTTTGCAAACAATATTAGGAGACTTGAGCTCCCGGTTCCAGTTTTGTCAGTGATGTGGAAACGTGTGTCTCAATATCCACATCTATAAACTAGGATGATGCACCCACCATATCTGATCGGAGCGTGTAGGATCAGAATATTAAGTACAGAGCCAGCAGCAGGTGTTATTATTCTATGATAAACCTCATGTTAATAACGAGCTGATTCATGTTTGATGTAAACCAACACTCGGGAAAACATCTACTTGAAGGGGAATCTCACAATTTTGTGATTATACCTCTTTTGATTGAACGGAAAAATTAAATGCGTCCACCTCGAGGTTTAGTTAAGTCCAACATGCCAAGGCTCAGAGCATTAGCTGACTTTTCAGTGTCAGCTCCAGACAGAGGCAGTTCCATGCAGAGCAGAAGCACCTATTTAGAAAAAGCCTCAGGCTGTCTCATCACGAGACAGGATGATGGTCACTATTCTCACGATGTGCGTTTTCTAGATGGAGAGAGGCCGTGTCCATAGGGAAAGTCCCCTGACTTCCCGCTGCGTGTTTCCCCATCCGGGGTCATTTCCTCCCTAACACATTCTCTTTTCAGGGCATGTACAAGCACTGAGATTGTTTTTTTCATCCTCCCCTCAGCCTCCCACCACAAGTGGCTTGCAAGTATGCAAGCCGTCAGCTGCCTTGGCTCAGCCTCTGTGGGTGAAGTTTCCACTCCCCTCCTCTGGGTTCAGCACTAGGGACACCAAGGACGGCCATGCCTGAGTGACCCGCACCACAGACGGCCTGGCACAGCCCAAATGGGGGCTCCCGAAGAGGGACAAGATGGCATTTGTTGTCAAATCTAGGCAAGCTTGGTCAAGCCCCTCTGCCTTGGCTGGTTTAGCACGGCAGTTGGGTGCAGAGCCTGGCTTTGAGGAGGGAGAAACCCTTCTTTCTAGCTAAGGTGCATTCTCAGGCGACGCCTTCTGCGTGTATCCCTGTGTGATGCAGGGGCCAAGGGCATCACCCGTCCTCCACTCCATAAGGAGCCTGAAGCTGGGGTGCCCAGCCGCTGGCTCCACATCCCACAGCTGAGCTCCCCCGACCCAGGGGCCATGTGCGAAGCAAACCCAGCAGGGAAGTGAGAGGAAGGAAGATACCCCAGCTAGCCCTAATGTGGTGGCTGCCCCCGGAGCTGTGTGCGAGGGGCCTAAGGGAGGTGCAGAAGGCTGGGAAGAACTGCAGCAGAGGGACAGGCTGAAGTTTGCAGAGAAGGATCCAGGGACCAGGTGAGAAAGAGAAGGTCGTGATCAGCACAGAAGAGGGAAGTGGGGGGGTTTGCAGGGAGATGGCAGCTTTGTGATTGAGTGCTGGAGGTGGGCTCTCCTCCCCTCTCCCGCGCCTGTCAGCTGAGCCCCTCATGGAGACGCCAACTCTCCCTGCCACCCTGGAGGAGAAAGGGAGTCTCCTTCATTGAGGAGGACTGAAGACGTCTGCAACTTGCTATAGAAAGGATGAAAACCTCTCCAAGGTGGCTGGACAGGTCCCCAGAGGCAGGAAGGGGAGAGTTATCATCAGTCATGGGACTGCCTTGTGCATTAGCTGTGTGCACATGTGTTTTTGTGTGTGTATGTATATGTCTATTTGTGTGTGCATGTGTGTGTGGGTTTGAGTTTGTGTGTGCATGTGAGCACAAGTTTGCATGTGTGTGCAAGTGTGCATGCATGTATGTGTGTGTGGGTTTGAGTTTGTGTGTGCATGTGAGCACAAGTTTGCATGTGTGTGCAAGTGTGCATGCATGTATGTGTGTGTGTGTTGGGAGAAGATATGCAGGGTGTAGGGTGGCTGTCCTGTTCAGGCAAGGCCAGCTCTAGCTTTCACACCAGACTCACCCCGGGAACAAAAACACACTCTGGCACTTCCACTACACTTTGGCTCCTCAGAGTGGAGAAACCAGTCAAACAGGCCTTGGAGCCTCAACCAGCACAGAAACTCCTCACACTTCTGTGTTTGCAGAAACTGATCTCACCTGGCACCTGTGCTGTCTCTGCAGTGTTGGCACAGCCCTGACCTTCTCTGAGGACAGGGCAGCCCCAGGGAAATGAGAAGGGCCTGTGTGGAGGGTGTGATCTGTGGAAGAGAACACGGGGGACCCAGCTTCACAGAGCTCATCTCCCTTGCGATTATCCTCAGCAATGAGAAATAGAAATGATGAGCGATTGTGCTGGTTGCACAGGCAGCTGGCTCCGAGCCCCCTTTCCTGGGTACTCCTAGACACTATCCACCTTCCCTGCACACCACACACCTCCCCTACACACCACACACCTCCCCTGCACACCGCGCACCTCCCCTACACACCACACACCTCCCCTACACACCACACACCTCCCCTGCACACCGCGCACCTTCCTCCCCTACACACCACACACCTTCCTCCCCTACACACCACGCACCTCCCCTACACACCACGCACCTCCCCTACACACCACACACCTTCCCTACACACCACACAACGTCTTCCCAACAGCGTGTGGTAAGATCACTGGGGGTGAGCTCCTGGCTTCTGCACTTTGCTCCCTGTGTGGCCTGGGTGAGCTGTTTCACCCCTAAACGCTGCATGCCTCTCTGGTGAAGAATATGGTACTAGCACCTGCCTTATAGGAGACTTGAGAGGGGCAAAGCCCTGCAGGAAAGCCTCCGCCCAGCACCTGGTGAGAGCAAGCACTCAGTAGGCAGAGCCCCTGCTAGCTCCTGCACCCCCTGCCTGCGCCAGCTCTCTGCTGGGTGACATGCCAGGCTGCTTCCTGGGCAAAGCAGAAGTATCCTCACTGCAGACCTGGGTGGCAATTCTAAGTTCTCAGGGCTTCAGCTGAGTAAAGAAATGCCTGATTTCACTGATGCCATGGACAGCATCGACCTTGCTGTCCACTGCACTCCTGGGGTCCCCCACGTGCTCCACGTGTGTGGAACACGCTTGACAGAGGCTTATAATTCTACAGGAAACCATCACAGGGTGAGGACTCGGAAGGTGGAGAGCTCTGTTCCAGTCTAGATTCCTGTCCAATCAATGGTGTGATTCTTGGGCGACAACAACCTGAAGTCACGCCAGGGGGTTCCCTGGACAAAGGGCAGAGGCCCCCCGACTCCCTCTCCTGGAGAGGATGCTTGTGCGTTCTCGGGTGAGGAGAGGCTCTGGGGCTGGTGTGGGTTGCTATTTACCCAGTGCCCACAATCTGTCTAGACTTGCTGGGCTAGTTGGCAAAAGCGGTCCTCCCCCAGACTCTTACCCATCAATGACACACCTGGGAACCTGGCAGGACACACCTGGCTCTGTGTCCCAGACCCGGAGCCTGTTTATCGGTCCCCATCTCCCATCCCTGATTATCCAGCACCTCCTGGAGAAGTGTCTTGAGAGAGGTACTTATCCAAGAACTGAAACATTTCAACTCGGACCGTATTGGATGGAAATCTAAGGTGGATTACATGTTTTGTTCCCCATCATTTTAAACAAATTAGATGGAGCATAATCCCAGTGGTTTAAAATGATACATTAGGACCCTCCATTCACTGCGCAGAGGTTTGTGTGGGGTCTGCCATGCGTGAGACGGTCCTGGTTCGTGGTGATTTCCCAGGTGGACCTTCCCACCTGCCGTCGTGGGGTAGGCGGCCCCTCTCCCTCTCCCATGGGTCTTCTCAGTATGTTCTGAGCTCCTCTTCATTTCACAGCTAGTTTTGGCAGAACTTAAGGCATAACTCAGTTGTCAGGAAAAAATATCAGCAGCTTTCGTCTAAAATCAGTAATAGAGCAGTGGTTCTGAGGGTGGTGCTCCGGACTGCCGATGTATTTCAGGATTCAGGACCATATTTTGAAGCGTGAAGATGGCCGTGAGCCTGAACACTGGACAGGATCAGGGATTATCATGATCCTGTTCATTGCTATAACACATATGTACAAAAACCCTTTGGGGAAGTTTAGACCCAAACAACTAAATGCAAGTAGATGGATGTGCAAAGTGAGAGGCGAGAGGGAAATCTATTTAAATAATCCTGGAAACCCAGAAGTTCTCAAAGAAAAGGTAGATGTATTTGACTACCTATAAAAAAGATAAAAACTTCTGTGTGAGCAGCAAAAAAAGACTATATCTAGATAAAGCAAAATGATAGATCTTGGAGGAAATGAAAATTATACAAATGATTTTATATATAAAGAGCTCTAAAATTGTTAAAACTACAACAAAAACAATAGAAAAATAAGCCAAGGATGTAAGTAGCCAGTTCACAGGAGAGCAAATTCAAATGGCCAACAAACAGTAAAGATGATAAATTCAGCCGTAGAGGAGGAAGTACAAATTAAAATAATAATGAGGCGTCATTTCATGCCCAATCTAGCTGGCAAACATTGAATTCATTAAAATACCTACTGCTAGAGAAGATGTGAAGAAATTTTTATCATTCCACATTGCCGGTGAAAAGGTCAAATGTGACAGCTTTGTTCTAAGTAATCTGGCAATGTGTCATGTATTACAACTAATAACAGGATTATACATCTATAAACAAAAATCTAGGATATTAATATGGGTTGCAGATATACCAATACGCAGAAAAGGGGGTGAAAAGATGAAAAAGGCTGAATGATATGGCCATTGTGTGTGTTTGTGTGTATGTGTGTATGAGAAACTGGATAAAACATTTGTAAAGGATCTTTGTTTTGTTAAGTATTTCCTATTTATTTTTATTTTTCCTTTTTTTTTTTTTTGATACAGTGTCTTGCTCTGTCACCCCAGCTGGAGTGCAGTGGCACAATCTTGGCTCACTGCAACCTGTGCCTCCCAGGCTCCAACAATCCTCCCACCTCAGGCTCCCGAGTAGGGCCCATCCCAGGGAGAGCTGGAGACAAGAAGGCCCTCGGCTTAGGAGCTCTGGTTGCATCCACTGTACAGGAGGTTAGGAATCCCTACCTCTTCCTGCTATGGGGCTGCTGTAAGAAGCAAATGGGAAAGTGCCTGTAGCCTGCAAGGCACCCTACAAAGGCGAGGGACCAGTCTTCCCCCACATTGTGAGTTCCACCCTCTTGAGACCCCACCTCCCACCAGGAGCTGCGGGTGCCTGGTCAGTGGCCCGTCCAGTAAGTTGGTGGCCACTCAGAGGCTTTCAGGAAGCAACACCTCCGTGCCGTGCCTCTTCATACCCGGATGGTGCCAAGCAAGGAGACGATGGCTCTGGGGTCACAGTGCCAAGCAAGGAGACGACAGCCCTGGGGTCCGACATGGGCCAGGAAAGCAAGAGAGATGTGGGTTTGTGGTCAGAGAGAAAAGGAGGCAGGTGCCATGCAGGACCATAGGGCCGTCTGTGGAGGACAGGGCTTGCCAGACGGTGTGCTCTCCCCCCGGCACTTGCTCTCCTCTGCACTTGCCATTGGACACATGGGCCTGGCAGAGACAGGAAGGGCACTGGCTTTGACTCAGCAGAGCAGTGAGCCTGGGAGAGCCGCCTCCTCCCTCTGGCCCGACAGCAGCCCAGTGCCTATGCTCCACTCCTGCTGACCCCACAGGCTCAGTCCCCTCGACAGGAGGGTCCTCAGTGTAGTTCCAGGGGAGGGTTGGCCGCTCCCCGCCTCTCAGGAGCTCTTTCCAAGGGAAACCTGTTCTGTGGGAGCCAACCCATCTGCAGGGATTGATGTGTGTCCCCTCCAGGCCAGAGCAGGTCCAGGCATCAAGCTTAGCTGCAGGGTGCCCTGGGTGGGGCTGCGTCCTGGGAGGAGAGCATGGCTGCCCCAGAGAAGGAAGGGGGAGAAAAGGACAGGGGTGCCCTGCCCTTGCAGGCTTCTTGGAGGGGAGCCCAGAGACAGGAACCTGGGTTACCAGCAAGTCTGGCCCCGTGTCTATAGTGGAAATGAATTTGGGTCCCACAAGAGGCCACTGGTGGAAGTGAAGCCTGCAATGGCCAGGGGGACTGAGGGCAGGAAGATCCCGCTCCCAAAACCACCCTGCTGCCGTCCCACCCAGCCTCCCTCTCTGGGCCTCCCCACGCTGCATCCTCTCCTCCCAGGACCCCCTTACCGCACCCTTCTCAGGCCATCCAGATGCAAGCAGCCCCCTAAAGCAGCTCTGCCCTCCCGCGGGCCACAACTGCCCTCCTGCACCCGCAGCACTTTGCCCCAACCTCCCGGGGGGATGTCTGTGTACCTGTCGCCTCCCCTACCTGCTGGGCTGAAGTCCAGCCGCAATGCAGGGGTGTTCTCCCTGCCACCCTTGAATTGGTCGGGGCTGGTCACAGACAACACTTTGAGGGGTCAGGCGCACTGACCGAGTAACCTCACAGTGCCCCTGGCAAAGCCACCCTTCACCCAAGGCCCAGCCTCGCAAGGTCCAATGCACCTGGACTGGAGGCCCAGCCTCGCAGGGTCCAATGCACGTGGACTGATCAGCAGTTGCTGGGCTCTGGGCTTAGAAGCAGGGAAAGTGCAGCAGGGCAAACCAGGGCTTCCAGGCAGGAGACCCAGTCCTGCTCCTCCTCTCGGCTCAATTTCTACATTTGCCCAGAGCTCAGTGCCAGTGGCCTGTGAAAACCTTCAGCCCTTTCTTTGGTCCTGGGATTTTCTGACTGTGCAGTGAGTGGGTTGAGGAGAAGGAATGTGCTTCCAGGTAAACATGCCCTCGGCTGACGTGGACGTGCTCACCAGACACTCATGAACAAGACTTTCCTCCCAGGCCTGCAGCCAGGCCCAGGGCAGCCGTCATGGTTAACCCCATTTCAGAGACTGGGAAGCCAAGGAATGAAAAGAAGGAGCTGCCCCTCGGAAAGGGACGCTGGAATCAAAATACAGGCCCGAGACTCACGTGGTGTTCGTCCCTCACCCGCAGGCCCCGGACTCACGTGGTGTTCGTCCCTCACCGGCTGCCCTGGGTCCAGGCCCTTCCTCGGGCACGTTCAGCTCCTGATCGCAACCAGGGGTCGACAGCTCCTTGGGCCCCTCTTTCTCTGCCCGCGCCTGACCATTACCCAGGGTCCATCCCCACTGGACTTGGCTGTCTTTAAAACCCCACTTCGAAGAACTCTACGCCTTTTCCACAGATATGTTTTCAGGTCTTTTCTTGGATCCCCCGGCTCTTGGGTGGAGGTTTAATTGTAAAAGATACACATTTGCTGTTCTTTTCCAGCACTACATCTTCCCCAGCTGCTACATCCCACTTTCTTATGAACCCAGATGTCCTCCGCCACTCACCCCAACTCCGGTTTCACTCTTTTTGTTCTTTTCTATGACAGGCTCTGCTCCCACACCCCCTTCTTCTCAACTGGGTGACATTTAAGAAGCGTTGGCGTTTCTGCTGGCCCAGAGGCTGGGACATCCTGGACCTGGCTGGCCGTGTCTCCTCCTTCCTCCTCCCTTGGCATAAGATGCCCACAGCCCTTTCTGCACCACTGTAGCTTGCCTTCCCTCTCCTTCCCACAATGGGTTCAGTCAACCATGGCTTTCCTAGCACCGAGCTGTTTCTCCTTCCTGCTTCCTTCTTTCAGGAAGTTGCTCTTCCCTGTTCTGGAGCTTCAAGTTGGCTTCCGCCAGTTCACAAGAAGTCACTAGTTCATAACTAGTTCATGAGGGTGGGATGCTGATGTGAAGTCCTCAAGTTCCCTAGATACAGAACAACTCTGTGCTGTATGTACCCCAGCCCTGGGGTTCATGCCACCCTCTGCGGTGGGATTTCCGAGAACCCCCTGCACCAGGGCTCAGTAAAGTCAGCTGCCACCAGCTTTATCCTTTACTCAAACATCCACTGCAGCCCGGCCACACCTCGGTGCCCAAACTGGGCAGAACCACATCGAAGCCACCGCTGCCCCGGTTACCTGAGGAGGACAGGCGATGTGCACCTGCCCTTTCTATGTGCCAGGCGCTGTGCTGAGGGCTTTGATGCATGACCTCATTCTTCCTCTCCTTTTATTCTTATTAAAATAAGAGTAAGCAGATGAAGCAATTGAGGCTTAGTGAGGTCACAAAACCAGTTCATCAAAGAGGTGGAAATGCGAATCTAGGTTTGCCTGATGCCAGAACCCAGGCTCTTATCCAGGGCACCATAGCGTCTGCTCATTATCTGATAGCTTCATCTTTCCTTCATAAGCCACTGAAGACAAAACTCAGCTCCAGCAGCCCCTGACTCAACAGTGAGGCTTCCTAGGGCAGAAACCCAGCCCAGGGCCCCAGCATTGTCCCGCACCCCCAAGTGGAGAAGCACATTCACAGCTTCACCCAGTCCTGGCACGGGCAGGGGCCTGCGGAGGTGGCCGGGAGTGGGAGGAAGAGCACTGGCCGTGCCGGGAAGAGGTGGCAATTCGGGCCCGCTCTGCCTCCCACCAATTACGTTCTTTGGAAACACACTTAACTGCCTAAGTCAGTTTTAGATTTTTATTTTATTTTGTTTTATTTGAGACGGAGTCAGACTGGAGTGCAGTGGCGCAATCTTGGCTCACTGCAACCTCTCAGGTTCAGGTGATTCTCCTGCCTCAGCCTCCCAGGTAGCTGGGATTACAGGCACACACCACCACACCCTGCTAATTTTTGTATTTTTAATAGAGACAGGGTTTTACCATGTTGGTCAGGCTGGTCTCGAACTCCTGGCCTCATGTGATCCACCCGCCTTGGCCTCCCAAAGTGTTGGAATTATATGCATGAGCCACCACACCCAGCAGTTTTAAAATTTTAATACAGTCATCCGGTTACTGTACATTTCCATGAAATACACTTCTATAAAATCCTTGGAAGCAATTTCACCAAGAACTCGCTATCACCTTGATCAGTCCCTATTTATTTAAGTCTATCATTATCTTATCTTCTGGAACATTCTGCAACAAGCTGGCTTGGCCTTCTTTCTTCCTTGATAACTCAGCCTCTCTAGGTTAAAAATCTCTTTACTTGAGCTTTGACTTCTCCCTCCTACTTTCATTTAAGTTTCTCCTTTGTGCTTTAATGTCTGTGTTCTTCATGACATGTGTGGAAATAATGATTTGATTCCTAAAGATCAGTAGCCTTACTCTTCTCGAAGAGCTTTCTTTGCTGGTTTTCGTTTGTGTTTGTTTTGTTCTTAGCATGTCTGACTACTTTCTGGCGTCTTAAAAAGAGAGCTGCGCTTTTCCCCTTCCTCGAGCCCCACTTTTGTTACAGTGTTAACATCTTTCTAATCTGATGGGAGTTGCCTCATCCTCCCGCGGCCCCTGCCAAATACATCAGCTTGATTCTATGACTATCTATTACTTGATTATATTACTATACACAGATGTCTTGCTTTGACACATCGCACACTCTCGTTTTCCTTGCCCATAGTCCTCGCCGATACTGGCTCATTTTCCTTTCTTCAGCACATTCCGGGGCGTGATCACTTACAGTAAAAGCAGCGTTTAGAACTCCAGTCCTCTAAACCCACTTGAAATATTTGGATTCACGGTCCTGTTGTGTTTGTTTCCCAAGCTAGAACATTTTCTCCTAAGATACGCCTGAGATTCCTTCCTCAGGGCATAGTTTATACATATAGGACCCAGAGTTTTGCAACTCGGGGCAGCTGTTTTTCCCAGTGGCCGGCACCTTGAGCCCCAAACCTGATTCATTCTCCTGTCATACAGTTTCCTTTCCACCTCCTATGAAGATGGCACCAGGGTCTTCTCTCCCCAAGCCTTCTCTCTGCAAAGGGAAGGCCGCTACTGCTCACACCTCGACTTCTCAGGGAGCCAAAGCTGCTCCGTGGAGCTCTCAGTGGAGACCCGCCACGCTTCCTGCTGGGACATCTTACGGGGTGACAGAGCCCCCGCAAATGCCGATCTGCCACGCCCCATTAGCAGAAATACCTGTTCCAGCTTCTAATCCCTCTTCTCCGAAGAACTGAGACCAGGCAGGAAGCTTTGGGGTCTGGGAAAGGACACGCGGGGTGGGAGACAGGCATCCAGCTGGGAGTGGGCGTCAGGCCCCGCCCGCCCGTCTCTCACCATCAGGGGTGTGATTGGACCAACCCCGAGCCTCCGCCTCTTTCTTCCCGCAGGGTGAGATCTCACACAGAACCTCCTCGGGCTCCACGCAGAGAGTGTCTGCGGCCTGGCAGGAAACACGGCCCGTGAACTCCTTGGCAGCGGAACTTTGCCGACACCACCCTGAGGTCCTCAGGCCAGGCGCTGCGCTGACACAAAGTGGCCTCAGTGCGCGCTAGTTTGATGAATGATAGCGAAAGGATGGCTGAATGAATGCATGCACGAATGAGTGGAATACAAAGTTCTGCCAGCGTTTAAAGTCTTTTCCTGCCCCCCACCCCACCCCCCACCGCTGGTCCATTCTGCAAAACAGAGTCCACCTTCTCTGCGGATCCGAAATGCACGTCAAATCTTATTTCCACAAATGTGGCTGCCTTCGGGTCTGTGCCGGGACGCACCTCGGTGGAATTCATACTACGGTTCCCATGGAGAGCTTCCTGCCCTGGAGCCTGCGACCCGCAGCCTCGGAGCCCCTGCTCCCCGCTCCCCTCCAAGAAGCCGTGTGTGACCTCTAGTCCTTTCTCTCCTTTCCTCTGCAGGATTCTCCGCCCTAACCATCGTTCCTTCAGGACTCCCTGGAGCCAGGAATGGCAGGAGAATCTGGGAAAAGCAAGCAGCTCCAGAGAAGCCCTTTCTCCTCCCCGTTCCTTTTGGTTTCCTCCCTTCTTGCTTCCAGTTCTCTATCGTGTCTTCTTCCTTCCTCACCCACCAAGCTCCCCTCGCGCAGATGCTCACCCGTGGCGTGTCCTCAGCCAAACCGGGCAGAAAAAGCTCAGAGCTTCGCACACCCCGTTTCCCTTATTTCCTCCCTAATGGCCTTCTTCACTGAGTTCTCTCGGGCCACGCACCCCTCACTCCCGCCCCTTCCTCGCCGTGGGCACCTGCCACCTTTCCGAGGGCGTCCCCGCGCGGAAGCAGCAAATCCGGCCTTGCGCTGGCTGCAGTGCTCAGTCTCCGGCGAGGGCCTTTCCACCTCCTCCGTGCGCCTTTGGAGATGAGGTCGGAAGCTGTCTGTTCTCCTCATTTTACACATGCAGAAATGGATACACAGAAACACCAAAAGGTTTGGACTGAACCGTGTACCCCTCAAATTCATAGGCTCAAGTCCTGCCTCTCCATGGGATGGTATTTGCAGGGGGTGAGACGGGGTCATGAGGCGTGGGGCCCCATGGAAGTCATCTTACAAATGAAAAGCGTACCCCTAATAACACAAAATAATAGTGACCATTTATGGAGATCTTATGACGTGAGAGGCCTGACCACTCTTTGGAGTCCTCTCGTGTCTTAATTCATGTCACTCTGGTCACCCTCTGACCTGGACGCTGCCATGGCGCCCATTGTACACATGAGGACCTGAGCCATGACAGCTGCGATTTGCATGATGCATATGAAACAGTTGAAAGCAGACGTGGGGAAAGGAAGGAGGCCGGGTGGCCTGGGCTCCTGCCCCTCACCTTCCTTTGCCCCCACGAACCTCTCGAAGGACTTCTGCAGAAACCAAGGGTTTCGAAGAGCAGAGTTTAAAACCACAGCAGTAAATAACTAAGGCAGGGTCTGAAGAAATGATGAAATGGGAGCTGCACTTTGCCGAATCCCTTTGCCTGCTTTAAATCTCTCATCAGGGTACTGAGCCCACGCCCTAAACCCTCCTGCCTTCTCCACACATCCCACGCTTACCCGCAGGCAACCCATTGTCACAGGGAAGCTTGAGCCACATGTGTGGGTACAAACACATGCACACACACGTGCATGCCTTCCTGTATTAAATGCTAAGGTTTTCTTCTGAAGCTTAAACTTCAAAGGCTGGAATTGGGAACAGAAGCTCTTCCTGCTGCTTGGGGAACTCCTTATCCTTCAAAGAAGATCAACTTGTTCTCTGGGAGATAATTATCTTGCCCCTTTGGTTGTGGAGGCTTAAAGTAACAAACTGTCCAACTTAGCTAATCATTGAATGCATCTTGGTATAAAAAGATCTGTAGCATGTGGCTAAGCCCCTCAACGACATCCCCCTAGTACACTTTTTTTTTTTTTTTCGAGACAGAGCCCCACTTGGTCACCCAGCCTGGAGTTTAGAGGCAGCATCTCGGCTGACTGCAATCTCTGTCTCCTAGATTCAAACAATTTTTCTGCCTCAGCCTCCCAAGCAGCTGGGATTACAGGCATGTGCCACCACACCTGGCTTATTTTTAGTAGAGACGGGGTTTAACCATGTTGGCCAGGCTGGTCTTGAACTCCTGACCTCAGGTGATCTGCCCACCTCAGCCTCCCAAAGTGCTAGGATTACAGGCGTGAGCCACAGTGCCCAGCCCATATTTTCTGTCATTTTTTTCAAAACGTCAAGCATCAAGTTTGAAAGGTTCAGTGGATCATGAAGCTATCCCAGAGCGAACCCCCCATTCTTCCTCCCCATCCCCCTGCCCCCTCTCCTCCCTCTGCCTCTGTCCAGACCCTTCACTTGCACCTCTCACCACCCACCACCCCCCAGCACAGGCAGGGGCAGTGAGTGAGCTCACGGTGGGCTGTCGGGGAAAGTTCCAATCGCTGCATATTTCACAAGAAATAGCCCTTTTCCCAGGAAAGTAATAAGTCCAAGAATAGATTTTTACTATTATTATTTGGCTGCTTTTATCATGAGACCTATTACTGGTCTGCTTTGGTTTAGGGCTGATCCTTTAATCCGGGTTTAATCCCGCTTGCTGTCAGGAACTAAGCACAGGCCACGTTAATGCCTCTTACTCGGCCCTTTGCAAAATGCATCCATGGAGGTGCTCAGCAAGGCTCCAGAGCTGACCTCTGCAGCCGAGGCAGCCGTAGAACTCCACTGTGCTGAGAAGGCAGCTCTTGCACGGCAGGATAGCCTGGGGCTACCTGGTGCAAACTGCAAGACCTGACCAGGATGGTCTCCGTACAATCTCACTGTTTGGCTTGGGGGCCCGTGGTGCAGGTGAGGCCCCCAACCATGCAAGAGGACCGCCTCTACGTGATGGCCAGGCAAGAGGCCGCGCAGGGCCCTGCAGGCTCCGGGAGCATGCTTACATGCCAGCTTTTTACATGATGATCTATCAGATTTCAATTAAACCAATCACTGCTCTGTTCCAGAACAGTGATCTCCTCCCTGAATGTCGACTCCAGCCCTGCCCGGGACACAGCCCTGTGTGAATCTTGATGGGTCACATGAGACAGAACAAAAGTCACCCAAAGAGCTGAGCCAGGCAGCACATCTGGAGGAGGCTTTCAAGAGACAGTGGGAAAGGAAGGCCCAGGGCCCATGCTCCTGCAGAAAATCCCTCCATCTGCGGGGAAGCAGTGAGGCTGACCGAGAAAGGGTGCTTTCACCCCATGGTCAATGGGAGTTGGAGTATAGAGCAAAGCATATCAATTGTCAGGTCAATCCGGGCCTTCGGAAGCAAAAGGAAGCCGCTGTATCTGGTCAATTTCACGAGCAGGACACAGATACCATTGCGGTCCTTACACACGTTTCATCAGCATCTCCAGTAGTTCATGTTCACGTCCTCCATCTCCGTTTGGTTGCTGTTGCACATTGGAGTGTGAACTGCAAAAATCCCCAAAAATCCCAGATCGACAGCATATCTTGTGCAGGCCCTGCAAATCCAGGCACATCTGACAATTTCCAGAAGACTGGAAGGGAGCTGTGATGGAAAGTCGCTGGTAGGAAATTTTGATGCTGGGAACAAAGACCCCAAAGTCCAGTCAGGCAAACAGGCCAGATGAAAAGACGGCCCAAGACAAGAAGTAGCCAAGGAGTTTGCTCTGTGATGGGTTTGCTCTGTGATGAGTTGTGGGGGACACGGGGTGTCCTAGCAGATATTTTTAAATTCTTCCATTTGTGTGTTTCCCAGGTGATCCTACAAGTCATGCGAGGAACACCCTCCCACTAGTGGGTGAAGGTCGAGGTCCTGACGAAGTGCCGCTGGCCATACTCCAGGAGCGGAGCCACTCTTCCAGGCTTCTCCTTCCACCTCTTTCCTGACTCCCCCACATCCTCTCTCCACCTGGCTCCTCCAATCTGCCCTAGTTGGGCTGTCAGCCTAACTTTCAAATTTGGCTTTGAGCCTGGAGTGTCTTTCCGACCTCGACAGGTTCTTTACTAAGGAGAGAAGTCCTCTCTTCCCCTGAGACCTGCTGTCACTTATCACCTCGGCAGTTTCCTGGCCTCTCTCTAAGGAGCCTGCACCAGAGTCCCTGGGTGGTGGCTGTAATAGAAAGCTGGGGGTGAACACTGCGATGTACCAGAGGGCTTGCAGGAAGCTGGATGCGTGAGTCCATGCCTCCTGAGGCCTACACAGCACAAATGGTATGGGGGCAGGTTCTCATTCTTGCAGAGACATGAACAGAAGAGAAGCCTGGTGGTCGATATCCACAGGTGCCAAGGTGTCCTGAGGCGCCGAGCCTTAGCAGCTGCTCCCAGGGGCCAGCATGGAGGTCTCCAGCCACCACCGAGCCACATGGCAAATGAGGACAGTGGGGAAGAAAGAACAGACAACCCAGGCAAATCAAACAGGCACCTGGGCAAGGCCATGTGAGGCATAGCATGGAATTTTTTGAACCAGAACTTGAAGGAAGGATGAGGTTCCAACAATCCTTTCGCCATTGGAGGCAGAGCTGCTCTTTGATGACAACAGGATCCTCCTGTGCTCTGTTTACTTAGCAAATACTGATTAAAGTCGGTGAGGCAGAGGACCTGTCCTATCTAAGGAGGCTTGACGGGGAAAGAAGTCGGAAACGGCCCTGGCTCTTATGAAACTAAGATAGGAAGGAACTAAAAGAGGGGGTAAAACAGAAGTGATGGGAGGAGGCAGAGAGTTAATTAAAAGTGGGTATTCAGGGAAGCCCTCATGAGGAAATGGAATTTGACTTTCAACTGAGTGACAGGGAAGGGTGAGCACTTCAAGGTTGGGGGCAGAGTGTCCAGGCAGACAGGGGACTCATGTGAAGTCACAAAAGTGGGAATCAGAGTAAGGGTGTTGGTCAAGGAGCAGAAAGTAGGCTGGAACATAGTCTTGAGGGGTCAGTGATGGGATCATAGTGAGGAAGGCAGGAAACAGTCGTGGATGGTGAAGAGAAGCCTTTATAGGATTTTGAGTAAGAAAAGACATGCATTGAATATAACACAAATAGGGAGACCACTTATGAGGCCGTTGAATATTCCTGCCTCGAGGTGATGGTGGCTTGGTGCACTGGATGAATAAAGAAACATTTTCAAAGTAGAGATGAATGATTGGTTTAGAAGTGCAAGAGGAAGGGAGGAATTAAATATGACTCCAGGGTTTTGTTCTGAACAATTGAATTGTTTTTTAAAGAGATGGGAAGACCCAGCTACTCAGGAGGCTGAGTTGGGAGGATGGCTTGAGCCCAGGAGGCAGAGGTTGCAGTGAGCCAAGATGGTGCCACTGCACTCCAGCCTGGGCAACAGAGCCAAATTCTGTCTCAAAAAGAGAGAGAGAGAGAGAGAGATGAGAAGACTAGAGGAGGCAGGGATGAAGGCCAAGAAGTCTGCTTGGTTACATTAGCTTGAGATGGTGATTAAACACGCAAATGGAGGTGTTACATTGGCAGCTGCATACATGAGGTGCTTAGCAGAAAAGGTGGAGAGAGATATACGCTACGAACAAGACTGTCTTGATACTTTCCTGCACTGAAAGCCATCTAAGGCAGGGCCAGTCCTGGCTTCTGTTGTCTGTTTTGCAGCTTCTGGACAAGACGGTCAAAAACTGCATTAGTGATGACCACAGAGAAGATGGAAAGGGAGGCTAGCTGTAGGAATCGGAAGATCTAGGTCCCAGTCCAAGTTTTAAACTTGCTAGTTGTCCAACTTTAATTCATATTCATCATCTGTGACATGGAGACATAACACAAAGGATAGTCAGCAAATCCATGTCTTACATTATAAATGTAACCGTGAAACAGTAAAAGAACGAACATAACTAACTCCATTTTTGTTTAAGGGGCCTTTACCCATTCCTGCACAGATGCTAGGATAATTTTAGAGCACCGAGATAATACATAAACACAGAAATCATGTAGTTTTTGAAACTCACTCTGAGATTAAAAGTAAAGCATATAAACAATTAACTATGTGTTGTTAAAGATTTACAGGAGTCCTTGCATGTGTTGTTAAAGATTTACTATGTGTTGAAACTATATATAGTTTCAACACATATATAGTATATATACGTATATATACGTATATATGTGTGTATATATATACATATATATGTGTGTATATATATGTATATATATATAGTTCAAAAACTATAGTTTTTGAAACTCACTCTGAGATTAAAAGTAAAGCATATAAACAATTAACTGTGTTGTTAAAGGTTTACAGCAGGTCCTTGTGACCTCACCAAGGACAAAAAAGTTCCCAAACTCCTCGGACCCTCACGGGCACCCAGATGTCTGCAGTCCTCAATCACCTTTTGATGCTAATCCTCCCTTCTTCCCCATATCCCCCTCCCATAAAAAAAAAAAACAAACCCCGACGAGCCTGAAATTTTTGAGATGGTATAATGGTTTAGAACACTAGCTCACCACCATCTCCTTTATTTGCTGGCTCTCCAGATAAACCTGCTTTTCCTCCCACCAGCACTTGTCTCTTGAGTCCAGCTTTCAAGCGGTGAGCAGCCGAAGCTGGGTTCAGTTACATAAAAGTGCTAATATTTACACTGGGGAGGAAGGAATTTGATGAGCAGGTGTTAGGGCTGGTGGATGGCTTTATCAAGGAAAAGAGAGAGCGTTCAGAACTACTCAGCCACACCCATTCCAGCAGGGACACAGGAATGGAACTGGCTAAAGATTGGAGAATCTTCATATCTTTATATCACCCAGCAGGAGAGGCACATTTAAAAGGACACTTAACAAATTCTTCTTAACAAAGGCTATTACAACACCACTTCATGGGGGGAAAAGCAAATCACCTTGGGCCTTCTGGCTTTAGGGTTTCTAGTTTTCAAAGAAAGCAGCTGCAGTTGGTGTGTGTGGGGGGTGGGGTAGGGGTTCCTTCTATCTGTATCTATTGGATTCTTTGTTAATACTATTCTCTGCAAGGCCAGCACTGTCCCACCACAATTCCAGAGTCCTTACCTGATGCCTGCAGCCCAGGGAATTCTACACCCAGTTCACACTCCTGAGTCCCAGCACCCCAGGCACCTGGCTCTCAAAGCCTGTTCCATGGATCTCTTTGGGAATAGGGTGTCCCAAGACCCTTACTGAGGGCCTGAGAGGTCAAAACTTTTTCACAATAAACCAGTGTTTTTTCCCCTTTTCACTGTGTTGATATTTGCGCTGAGGTCAAAAGCAACAGGGGTAAAACCAGTGCCTTAGCATGAATTAGGAACCCTGTGCTAGGCATCATGACGCTCTCCACTCCACATTGTCTCATTAAACAAACAAACAAACAAAAAAGCTGGTTGCACTTAAAAATATCCTTGGAGCAGCAGAATTATTTTTATTAAATTTCAAAGCTTACTTGTACATTTTTAATAGTCTGCTGATATTGAAGTGTGATGATTGTCATGAGGAAAGCATTGTGTGATTGACTAAATGAGTAGCAAGGTGAGCTTTTTTCATGGAACATCTTTTTTGTTGGAAAGAACAGCGGATGGACAAACCATGATCACTCAGACCTAGTATTTGGCAGACATCTTTTCGAGAATGGATGAAGTGAGCCTGTCACTTCAAGGAAAACAACTGACAGTATTTGTGGCCATTAAAAATTTTTGAGCTTCTGAATGAAAATTGGAATTTTTGAAATTTTGTATTTGTCACCGTGAACTTGAGCCTCTCCAGTACTTAGCAGCTTTTCTAATGAGATTGGTGGTGACATTAATGAATGTGTGTTTTTTTTTTGAGACAGGGTCTCACTCTGTCACCCAGGCTGGAGTTCAATGACATGATCACAGCTCACTGCAGCCTCGATCTCTCTCCCATGCTCAAGCAATCCTCCTCCTGCCTCAGCCTTCCAAGTAGCTGGGACTACAGGCACACACCACCACACCTGGCTAATTTTTCAATTTTTTGTGGAGACGAGATCTCACTATGTTGCCCAGGCTGGTCTTGAACTCTTAGATTCAAGCAATCCTCCCACCTCGGCTTCCTGAAGTGCTGAGATCACAGGTGTGAGCCACCATACCTGACCTAATGAATGGGATTTTTAAATGTTATGTATGTAATTGTTCAACCAGTGAACCAGTATTTTCCAAGTGACCAATGCATGGCATTACAAAACCATGCACAGGTAACAGATCTGTTCAAAGGGCAAAAGAAACCAATGGATTTTCATTTAACAGTATGAAAAGGTCTCTGACATGGTCTCAGATTCCACACTGCAACTCATCTTTCAGAAACTACCACTTGTCAAATTTTGATGTAGTATCAAAGAAGAATATCCACAATTTTTTGACAAGACTATTCAAATGCTCCCTCCTTCCCCAGCTGCATACCTGTGTGAGGCTGGGTAATCATACACTCCAAAACATTTTGCCACAGATTGAGCATAGATGCAGATTTGCTTCTGGAAAGCCAAGCATGAAAGATATTTGCAAAACTACTTTGTAAAACGCTACTCTTCTCCCTATTCCTTGTCTTGGAAAATACTGATTTTTCATTTAAAAATGTTGTTTTTCTTTAACTTTTATTTTAAGTTGAGGGGCACAAGTGCAGGTTTGCTGCGTGGGTAAACTTGTATCATGGGGGTTTGTTGTACAGATTATTTTATCACCCAAGTTTTTTTTTTTTTTTTTTTTGAGATGGAGTCTTGCTCTGTCGCCCAGGCTGGAGTGCAGTGGCACGATCTCTGCTCACTGCAAGCTCCGCCTCCCTGGTTCACGCCATTCTCCTGCCTCAGCCTCCCAAGTAGCTGGGACTACAGGCCCGGCTAATTTTTTGTATTTTTAGTAGAGACGGGGTTTCATTGTGTTAGCCAGGATGGTCTCGATCTCCTGACCTCGTGATCCGCCCGCCTCGGTCTCCCAAAGTGCTGGGATTACAGGCGTGAACCACCGCACCCGGCCTGATCACCCAAGTATTAATGGCTAGTACCATTAGCCATTTCTCCTGATCCTTTCACTCCTCCCACCCTCCACCCTCCAGTAAGCCCCAGTGTGTGTTGTGTTCATGTGTTCTCATCATTTAACTCCCACTTATAAGTGAGAACACGCAGTATCTGGTTCCTGCATTAGTTTGAAAGAATAATGGACTCCAGCTCCATCTCTGTCCCTGCAAAGGACATGATCTCGTTCTTTCTTATGGCTGCATAGTATTCCATGGTGTATACGTACCACACTTTCTTTATCAGTCTATCATTGATGGGCATTTGGTTAATTCTATGACTTTGTTATTATGAACAGTGCTGCAATGAACATACGCGTGCATGTGTCTTTATAATAGAGCAATTTATATTTCTTTGGGTATGTACCCAGTAATGGGATTGCTGAAAAATATGGTTTTATGTGAACAAGTAATGGGTTTATTTCTATTAAGTTATAAATATATAAAAATATACTTAAATATTTAAATATTTCTTGGTTTTAGTTGCAAACACAGTATATATATATATATATATATATCCCACATAAACACAAGCTCTTTGGAGTCCCCAATAATTTTTAAATGTTTAAATGTATCCTGAGACCAAAATAATATCTATTCTGTAGGGAAAGGAGTTGCTATATTGGGGTGAGAGGCTGCAGGGAGAGAGTTAAACAGAAAATAAAAAACATTCCCTCTGTCACAGTTTCCCAACCAGCGAGTTGCAACAGTATGGCCCATCGTAAGGCGGTCCTGGTCCTCTGTGAGTCACTTTGCACTAAGCAACGCTGTTTAAAATTCTGAGTCCTCTTTTTTTTTGAGACAGGGTCTTGCTCTGTCTCCCAGGCTGGAGTGCAGTGGCACGATCTTGGCTCACTGCAACCTCTCCCTCCCTGGTTCAAGTGATTCTTCTGCCTCAGCCTCCCAAGTAGCTGTAGCTGGGATTACAGGCACCACCCACCATGCCTGGCCAATTTTTGTACTTTTAGTAGAGACCTTTAGTAGAGGTTTCACCATGTCAGCCAGGCTGGTCTCGAACTCCTGACCTCAAGTTCAGGCCTGCCTCGGCCTCCCAAAGTGGTAGGATTATGGGTGTGAGCCACTGCACCTGGCACTGAGTCCTCTTTCAGTGTGCCTTTTTGAGAAGGACATTTAGGTAAAAGCTAATGTTTGAGCCACAGAGCCATGACCCAGAAACCAGCAGTTACCTGTTGGCTTCTCATCCTGGTCGTTGGTCAAGTGGGCAGGAGGTATGACCGTATTCCTGTCCTTGTCCATCAGGGCACTGTCTCAGGCCAGGTTTCCCCCTGATGCCATCCGGGGCTCTCCAGAAGACTGTGTCAGCCACATGTCCGAATCCCTTGGTGCTCCTGTCTCCTGTGACTGTCCCTGTATTCCTTCATGAAGAAGTCTCTCCAGCCCCTAGGCAGGGAAAGTAGAAGAAAAATGCTTCATAGCATCTTTTCCACTAGATGGTCACTCTGGCAGTCAAATAGGGGGTGTGGTTATTGGCTATTAATTATTCTGCTTTTCTATACATAATAATAGCTATGCTCACCATAGTCTCATATCTCTGAGAGATATAAAGCTGACAATATTACCAGGCCCTCCACATTACCTAACCTCAGAGAAAGAGAAAGAATATTGGGAGTTCAGTAAGATATGGAATATTTTTTATCAGGGATGGTTTTTGAATCTTCAGTCATTTCCCCTAATAATAGAAATGATATATGGCAAATATAAAACATTTTTAAATGAGCAAAGATACTACATTTATAAGAAAATTAAAAGCACTTATAATCCTATTATCCAAAGTATCCACTATTAAGAGTTTGGTACATGATTATCTAGGCGTTTCTTCTGTGAATGTATATAAATAAACATATATAAATGTTTAATACATGAAATCATATCACATATACAGTTTTCTATCTGCTTTTTAAAAATTTTCCATGGAAACCTTTCCATTGTTATATCCTCATCCTCATTTTAAAGGCTGTGTATTATTTCATGGTGTGGAGGAAATTTCAGGTATTTGTTACTAACCTGCTATTTTTGGGTATTCGGGTGATCTAGAGCGGAGATATTTAAATATTTTTAAAGTGCGTTTGGGATATGAATTCTAACACTCAGGCATCAGGCACCAGTGTACAATCAAGAGCCCTTCTCAGAAGGTGACAGAAGGTCCCCATGTCCCAGAATTAGCCCCCAAAAAACCCCAAAATAAAAAAGGGACCTTGATCCCCAGCTGAACTTTTCATGGGGTGACCTTGAGCAAGCTGTGTGTGCAGCCTTTGCTGGGTCTCCCCACCACAAAAGAGATCTCCAGAATATTCGAGGAAGGGCGGGGCTCCCAGGAGCAAAGCACACACTCTTTCTTGCGCAGCCCCCTGTGGACAGAGCTGTAACCTGGGCCCAGGGCATGCTCCCAGCCTGCAAATGGAGATGCTGCCTCATTTTTCTCTCTAAATCTAAACTTTATTATCAGCCCCTCTCCTACCCCAGGGAGTCCTGGCCAGCCCATCTCCCCACTCCCCTAGAGCTGTTGGGGTGTGAGGTCTCAGGCAAGGCCGAATATTCTGGGGTGAGAAAGGAGGGGAGGGTGGGATCTGGTCACCAAAGTGTCACCCACACACGTGGCTTCCAAGATGCCCATCACCTCGTTCCCTCCACGCCACCCCTGGGCCCCAGGGCTCTTTGCCAAGGCTGCCTGTGGCCACCACATCCCTGAGCCCTGCTGCTCTGGGGTCCACAAACTTCTCTTCTAAGGAAAAGATTCCATGGGGATGGAGGGATTCTTCAACCTTCCTGCTTCCTCCTGCCCAAACCCTCAGGACACAGGCTTTGTGGGAGCCCTCAGGTAGGAAGGAAGGTGTCTTGCAGGTGGCTTCAATTTTCCCCCTACCACAGACCCCCTCCAGACCAGAAGGACACACTTGCCTCTACTTGAATAGAGAAGGGAAGGAAAATCAGAGAGAAAAAAAATGAATATCCGAGCCCTTCTCCTGCCATAGTCTCTCCTCGGCAAGTCCAGGTCCTCAAAAGGACACTTTCTTTCCCTTTCCGGTCTCTACCCCACCCCCACACACCCAGCAAAAAATAGAGTGGGCTCCATGTTTCTCCCCCAGTGTGGATTTCTTGGATTCCCACAGGTGAAGCGCCTGCTCCTGCCTCTCTGGGGGTCATGTCTCCAGGCCCCCTGGGAGTGGGAGCCGAGTCTGTGCTGTGAACACCCCACTATCCCCCTAAGCGGGTCTCCTCTGGGAGAGGCCGCTCCACAGCCCCAGCTCCATGCTGCCCGGAGCTCCTGGGGCAATGTGGACCAGAGAATGATAGTGGGACTTCCTGGCTGAGCCCTTCAAGGTCTCCTTTGTCTCTCCTCCTTGTCCCCTCCCTCACAGGCCTGCAGCCCCACTGATCATCTTCCAGCCCTTGGCCCTGCCATGGCCACTCCGGCCTAGACAGCTGCTTCTCAGCAGGAGGTCTGTCCTTGACCAGGCTGAAAGGTGACCTCGGGGTCCTGTCCATCACCACCTTGTATGTCCATCAGCATTTATCAATAATCCCTAGTCACCTTGTTTGCATTCCTCGATCAGTTGACCTGCAAACTAGCTGTCTTGCTAGTTAACCTCACGAGGACTGGGGGTGGCTTGCCGGTCCCACTGTGTTCCCAGCTTCCAGAGTGACACTGCACCTAGTAGGCACTCAAATATCTGTGAAAGGGTGGATGAGTGAATGGGTTGGAGGAAACCCCTCCCTATTCATGTCCATTCTGAAGATAAGAAAACTCGCTGCTTCTACCTGAAGGGAAAACCTTCCTCCTCCAAAAACCCTCCTGTTCTATATGAGGCTTTAGAAACCAAAGGCAAGGACGTTTCTTTCATCTGCCTTTCATCCTGCAAAAAGCCCTCCACTCAAGGGAAGAAAGGGCACTGGAGTTTATTGAGTGGGAGACAGGCGGCAGGTGGGAGACGGGGAGGGAGGAGAGAAAGGGAAATTCAGGAGGAAGGAGTCCAGCGTGGATTGCTCCAAAGCTCACCCACCACGCCCTGACTGCAGGTGTGATTCGGGGCCCCCGTGGCTCTGCTGGGTCCAGGTGCAAGCAGGCACAGAGGTGCTGGCGTCAGCTCGATTCGCAGGCCCTGGACTCCTGTCTAAACAGGACAGGCCCGGGCAACCGCAGGGCAGGGGCGTCTGCCAATGATGGGGGAGGACTCTGCTGCTTCTTAAGCTCCAGCGTCTCAAGCCAGGGCGAGACAGCCCGCCGGCCGCCCGGATCTCCACCTGCCACCCCAGAGCTGGGACAGCAGCCGGGCTGCGGCACTGGGAGGGAGACCCCACAGTGGCCTCTTCTGCCACCCACGCCCCCACCCCTGGCATGGCCGACCAGCTGACTGAGGAGCAGGTCACAGAATTCAAGGAGGCCTTCTCCCTGTTTGACAAGGATGGGGACGGCTGCATCACCACCCGCGAGCTGGGCACGGTCATGCGGTCCCTGGGCCAGAACCCCACGGAGGCCGAGCTGCGGGACATGATGAGTGAGATCGACCGGGACGGCAACGGCACCGTGGACTTCCCCGAGTTCCTGGGCATGATGGCCAGGAAGATGAAGGACACGGACAACGAGGAGGAGATCCGCGAGGCCTTCCGCGTGTTCGACAAGGACGGCAACGGCTTCGTCAGCGCCGCCGAGCTGCGACACGTCATGACCCGGCTGGGGGAGAAGCTGAGTGACGAGGAGGTGGACGAGATGATCCGGGCCGCGGACACGGACGGAGACGGACAGGTGAACTACGAGGAGTTTGTCCGTGTGCTGGTGTCCAAGTGAGGCCGGCGCCCACCATGCTCCTGGGCGCCCACGCGGCCCACAGGGCAAGAACCCGGGGCCTCCCGCCTCCTCCCCCATCCCCCTGCCTCCCCTGGGCACTGTGGCTTCCTCCTGCGCCTGGTTGATTCAGCCCACCTCTCTGCATCCCGCTTCCCGCGTCTCTTCTCTGCACTCCTGCCGACCTTCCCACCTGCTCGTCTGAATGACACGGAACGCTCCCACTGCAGGCAAACCGTGACGCCCTCCCCACTCGGGAGAAGCAGAGCTGACCTTAGGACCGAGCACCAGGGCAGGTTGCGCTGACTCTGCGGCCCTCCAGGACGGACACCGGGTGACCCCTTAGGGCACCCAGGCAAGATCCCTAAGAGGCACCCAATGCCCAGGCCAGGGGGGCTGCAGCCCTCAGCCCCCGCCAGGATTCCCGCAGGCTCCTGGACTGGAAGCTCCCTCCGCGGTCGGATTCTGGAGGGTGGGAGGCATCTTGGCCTGCAGTAAGCGGTGCTGACGGGGACTCTGGCCACAGAGGTCAGGCCTCCTGAAAACAGCACTGCCTTCCGCGCTGCCCCAGCTTGCCCCATTCCTTGTCCGCCAACCCACCGTGATTCATCTTCTGAAGCTGGGAGTGAAACTGGGTCAGCTGTAACCTGTTCCTATTCATCTGGAAGGAGGGAGGCTTGGATGAGCAGGGGATGAGAGCTGCAGGGAAATAAATGAGATATTCGTCCTTATTTCATTTCCTTTTTTTTTTTGGTTTCCATGGAAATGATCCTTGTTAAATTCAGGGTTGAAACGAGGCAGGAATCTCCATTTTTGTGCTTTTTGAAAATGCAATGAATTCCTATACGGGGGAGCGGGAAAGGTGCCTCAGAGAGAGACAAGTCTGGATGAGGGAAATATTGAATATTCTCAATCAAATGGATACGCTGGCAGCAAAGAGTGGTTAAAAGTCCATCAGGACTTGAAAGACCTGAGTCCATTACGTTGAGAAGGGACCTGCTGATTGCTTTGATTCCCCCTGGCAAGTGCTCCCTGGTTGTGAAGTGCCAGGCACTAGAGATGGTGAGGGGTTGGGGGGCAGTTGGGCACACACAGTGTAAGAGCAATTCAGAGCCGTTAGTCCTGCACTAGCCCTGCAAGCTGCTGGCAACACCTAGAGAAGGTCGAAGGGGCCCTGCCAGAGATCCCTTCAATTCTAAAGGGAGGTATGTTTTGCGGGATGGGCACTAGACGGAGCTCATCAGAAAAGGCCATGGTGGATGTATCCTCTCTCCCTGACACCCCACCCCCGCCCACCAACACCCAGTGTTTCCTCCTTTGTAAAACAAAGAGCTGGGCCCCAGCCCCGGCCTTGCCATCATCACTGCACCACTGGGACCTCCAGGATGACAGGACCCTCATGCCACCTGCTTGGGCTCAGGGCACCATCAAGCACTTGGCCTGCATAGACAATTGGCACCTCCCTATGGGGCAGCCACTATTATTACCTTCCTCATCTTACAAACGAGGAAGTGGAGACACAGAGGGCTTTAGAAAGCAGCCCTGGGTCCCACCAGTGGGTAAGAGGCAGACCTGGGATTTCAGTCAGGTCTGTGCCCTGACCACTCAGCTACAGGTCTGACACCAACCTGTGCCTCCATCATGGTAACTACGGTAGCGCCTCTCTCCAGCACTTGTGAGGAGCCAGAACAACATTCTTAACACACCTGGCATGTAGTAGGTGCTTAATAATGGCAGCTACTGTTACCATCACCTTCAAGATCCCTTCCTGCTCTAATACTGCAAGACTGTCCAGGGTAGTCACCCCTCTCCATAGCTCGAGAACAAGACAAGAGCAGAAAGGGGCAGAAGCAGGTGCTCTGGGGCTGGATTCCTGAGGGGATGCTGGATGGTGGGGTGTCAGGTGAGCACTGGCCCAGGGCCGGTGTAACTGCAGGTACTCCTGTCAGGGGAACAGAAGCAGAGGGCAAGCTAAGGCTCAGCTTGCTGAGCAAATCCCCACCCCTCCCTGCCACTCTCAGGAGTCGGGGTTGATTGGACACGTCCTGGGGAAGATTTGGGAACAAGCCTCATAAACACATGGACAGAGTGTCTAGAGTTCATTGGGCAGCAGCACCCCAGGGGGTGGGGGGCTGTGAGCAGGAGGGGCAGGCAGAAGCCCCCACATGGCTGCTGACCGCCAGGCAAAAGGAATAGTACATCAGGCCTGAGTACCTTTTGTAGAATGTCTCCTAAATTCTGCAGGAAGGAGAGAAACCAAGGTCTCCCTGCACAGGGCATCTTTGTAGTCACTGTCATACACGTGGCTGAGGTTTGACATCTAAGCCCCTTCTTCCCAGGTGCAGGCTTGAGGCTCTTACAAGGGTTGGGACCTACGCACTGCCAATGCCTGGGCCAGGAGGGCACGCCAGTGTCTTTATTTGTCTTCCTCCCAGCCTCCCAGCGATTCCGCCAGGGCAGGTCTTTTTGCAACCCCACACACCAGTCATTCTGGAGCCACCTGGGCCTGGATTTTGCAGGTGCTGGGAGCCTTTCATCAAGAGCTCTTTGTGCTCAGGCAGGCACTGGCTGGGGTGGTGGAAAGGTCCTACCTGCTCTCAGCTTAGAACTGGCAGCCCCAGATCCTCCCTGAGGGGGAGTCCTCAGAAGCAGAGTAGTAAGTGGAGGTGTCTTTTTTTTTTTTTTTTTTTTTGAGACAGAGTCTGGCTCTGATCCCCAGGCTGGAGTGCAGTGGCGTGATCCCAGCTCACTGCAACCTCTGCCTCCCTGGTTCACGCCATTCTCCTGCCTCAGCCTCCCGAGTAGCTGGGACTACAGGCACCCACCACCACGCCCGGCTAACTTTTTATGTTTTTAGTAGAGATGGGGTTTCACCGTGTTAGCCAGGATGGTCTCGATCTCCTGACCTCGTGATCCGCCCGCCTCAACCTCCCAAATTGCTGGGATTACAGGCATGAGCGACCGCGCCTGGCCGGAGGTGTCTTCTTTATACAGACAGAAGCCAGAGGCAGCAAGGTCAAAGTGCGTCCTGTGGCAAAGGTGAATGACCCCTCCCCTCCCCCTTGGTGTTTAAACACATTTTTTTTTTTTTTGAGATAGGATCTTGCTCTGTCACCTAGGCTGGAGTGCAGTGGTGCAATCATAGCTCACTGCAGCTTCAACCTCCCAAGCTCAAGTGATGGTCCCACCTCAACCTCCCGAGCTCAAGTGATCATCCCACCTCGACCTCTAGAGTAGCTGGGACTGACGCGTGCCACCATGACCCACTAATTAAAAAAAAAAAATTGGAGGGGTGAGGTCTCTATGTTGCCCAGTCTTACCCAAACTCCTAGCCTGAAGTGATCCTCCTGCCTTGGCCTCCCAAAGTGCTGGGATTACAGGCACAAGCCACCGTGCCCGGCCCTGAATATGATTGTTCAGTAACATCTTCTGTCTGCCCTTCTCCTTGAAGCTGGGTCACTGCCCTCACCACAGTGAGCACCGTCTGCTGCCACATGGCTCTGCCCCCTCCCAACCTTCTGTGTTGGGGTAAGGAAGACCAGGCCAGAGGGGGACGCAGCTCTGACAGTGCTCTCTGGCACGGCTCCTTCTGCCTCACGGGGCGTGATGCCCAGGGAACCCCCTGCCCTCACCAGCAGACCCCAAACCCACAGTATGAATGCATCTCTCACCGGGCTAGCATTGCTGACCTCCACGGCATGGCATCAGCTACTCTGACTCAGTTCACCCACGGCAGTGAGTGTGTCCTCTCACACAACAGCCTCGGGATCCAGGTCTACCTAGGTCACACCTGGGCCTGTCTTTAGCTTCCTCCCCATCTCCCCTTATCTTATTTTCCCTTCCTTTTTCCCACCCTGGTCAGCACTTCCAAAGAGCCTGCCCCAAACCCAGATGTCAAGGTAAACTTTTTTGTTGGTAAAATGTGGTCACTCCAGCTGCCAGGGGTGGGTGCTCGCCTGTTGGACATAGGCAAGGGGAGGCCTGGGGGCTGGAGCAGGAGGAAGGAGCCACCCAAATGGGCAAACAGGGTTCTCCAGAGGGACCCAGCCCTGCGGGTGGAGCTTTCTTCCACCCTGTGTTTTTCTGTGGCAGAGACTTAGAGGCAGTTGCCCAACTGGCATATCCCTTTCTTTTCAGTCATTGAATAACCTAATTTAAACAACCTGCCCTCAGCCCCCAAAAAGGTGCAATCTGACTGCAGCTCAAAACAACATTCCAGCCATCCTAGGGGAAAGGAATTTATAAATATTACCTTGGCTTCCATGTGCTTTACTGAGCTCCCTCATAAATCAGGACTTGGGGCTCCTGCACTCCCAGACTATATAAAGCTCGCCTCTGACTCCCGTGTTTCCAATTTTAAATCGAATGCAGCCCAGCCCTGCCGGCTCCTGTTTATCCTCAAAGATTCCAAAGGCCTGTTCAAAGGCTCCCAGAACCAGCCAGCTAAAAATGACCCACGGCTTCCGCTAGAGAAATGTGGTATCAAAACTCGTGTATGGGGTGAGACTGCTCCATGAAGAATGGTAGCAATGGGGAATATGAGTTGTGTTTCTCCACCAAAAAACAAAGCTACATAAAGTAAAACAAGACCAAAAACCACCTCTGAGAAAGGTCTGGCCCCAAACCATGTGTCAATCTCCTCACCATCTTGCTTTTCTGGTAGTCATTTCCATAGCAACAGGTTCTCAGGGGTCTGGACTGGGCAAGAAAGGGAAGTGCCTGGGAAAGGCCTCCTCTGAGCCCTTTCTAACAGGGACAAGGCTGGGTGCTGAGTACTGGGTGGGACAAGCACCTTCCTCAAAGTGCAGGGAAGTGAGAAGCTTTAAATAGACCTAGAAACAATGGCAGGGTTTCCATAATTGGAGGAGAAAGTACCTATCGGAATAATAACAGAAGGAACCACATGCAGTCCCCTAAACACCTTCTTCAGGTCTTTCACGTCTTGTAGTGTGTGCGAACTACCCGGGAGGGGAAAGGAGCCAGGCTCTTAGGGAACATAAGGAGGGGAACATCTGAAGGGTGAATAGCAGGTGGGCCTAGGCCTCAGAGAGCCAACTGGGTGGCCCTGCACACCTTGGGGAGCTGAACATCCAGGGAGTGACTTCCTGAAGACTGACCACATGTGGCCCTGCTGGCCCATGGTGAAATTCATCTCCTGTCATCACTAGCCAAACCAGTCTCACCTATAGCCTACTGCACACCTGAAGACTCTGGTCTGAAGGCCCCCCATGATAGAAGCTCAGCCTTCACTGGGGCACACTGTCGGGAGGCACCTGTCTTGCATTTCATTAGCTCCTTTAATCCTCCAAACAAGTCAGTGCAGTAGCTTGTTTTAGCCTGTTTCAGAGAAGAAAAGACGAAGACTTTGAGACTTTGAATAACTTATCCAAGGCCATACATCTAGTGAATCAGAGTTTGACCCTGGGTTTGACCGACCCCAAAGCTCACACTATTCCCACTGTGCCAGAGAGGAGTTCTTAGAGCAAGGAGCCTGAAACCGAGAGGCGCTGAGCTCACAGAGGCGGTGAGTGCTGGAGAGATCTCGGTAGGAAAGGCCTGGAAGTGGGAAACAGCTGTCAGGCAGAATTTGTCTGGGCAGAGAGGACCTAGAGAAAAGAAAAGGAATTGATCGATGCCAGGAATATCCAGGAGCCACAGGACCCCTTGTGTCTGGGTGTGGGCATCTGCAGAGGGAGTGCTGGTGGACTGCCCACTTGCCACGTGAGACGTGATGTCTCACTGCCCCTCTGGCCCAGCACTGGACCCCATGCAGGTGCTGGGGCCGCTGCAGTCCCAGAAAACAAGAGGGAATCCTGCAGTGGGCACATCTTTGCGACAGGAGGTCCCAATCCGCTCCCTGCTCCACACACGCGCATCTGTCTGCAGCCAAAGTGCTACACGAACCTTCACCATTCATTATTGCAGAGCAGCTGGGAGGTGTTGGGCTTCTCAGCTTCTCATCCAAACTCACATCTCGGGGTGCAGGTGATGGGCAGTCAGAAAAAGCCACATGACCCTACTATGGTTGAATTGTGCCCCCTGCCTCCAAAAACTCATATGTTGAAGTCCTACCAACCAGGACCTCAGAACATGACCTTATTTGGAGATAAGTCTTTACAGGGATAATCAAGCTACAACGAGGTCATGAGAGTGGGCCTTCAGCCAATATAACCTTGTCAGGGTGGGACACGTGGACACACATGCCCAGAGGGAAGACAGTGTGACGACACAGGGAGAAGACAGCTGTCCACAGGCCCAGGAGAGAGGCCTGGAACAGCCCCTCCCCAGAGTCCTCTGGAAGGAACCCACCCTGCCAACACCTTGACCTTGGACTTCCAGCCTCCAGGACTGTGGATGAGACCTTCCTGTGGTTGAAGCATCTGATCTGTGGTGCTTTGTTATGGCAGCCCCCAAGCATCCACTGTAAGGGGGTCAGGTGTATTCACGGCCTCTCTCCCTGCTCCAAGGTCCACAAGGGCTGCTGGGGACTTGGTCCAGAGCCGTCCTTTGTCTGAGTCCAATTCTGACTTCATAGTGACTCCCCGGGGGATGCAGGGAGTCAGATCCACTTGATTCTGGAGAGGATCCAAGGGTAAAGGAAGGAGAAGGAGGGAAATAATCCCTTGAATATGGGAAACTGTCTTTTGACAAATTCTGGTGTGTCTTTCCAGACCGTAGATGCGTGGGTGGGATTCAAAGTCTGGCCCTGCCGAGGAGCAGCGGAGCATCCCAGGAAAGCCCCTGCTCTCCCAACCCCAGTTCTGCTGAGGAAGTGAAGGATCCTTGGAGGCGGCACAGCCATGCACAGGGTGTAACCGCCTGGGATGCAACCTGGGCATGAAGACAGCACAGACGTGGTACCGCAGGGCCCGAGGCTGGGTGAGAGTCAGGCTGAGATCAACGTTTGGGCTTGTAGACGCCTAGGTTTGCACAGCATCATAGAGGTTATCTGGCCTAATTTCCCATGCAGGATGAGAGGCCTATGAGTGATGACATCGTAAGCAATGGCAGGTGTGCACGACCTTGAATGCGACCATGGTAGGGAGGTCAAGGCAAGTTGCCCAAAGGTTGGAAAATTGCTATCCCCGGAAAGCTTTTCCTTAAACAGGTCTGAAAGGTGCCTCCATGTAACTGCCCCCACTGGCCCCTTTATTCTCTCTATGTTTGTGAGAGTCTAGAGCAGCAGCCCCTCTCCATGTGTCCACGTATTTGTGCCTCCGGCAGCAGCAGGTGCCTTCATGCTCCACATGGCCTCCTCTCCTCTCCAGGCTCTGTCCAGAGGTTCTTACCTGACAGTGGGTAAGGTTCCTCCCTTATCCCCCAGTGGTGGCTCAGCTTGGGACACGTGTCAGCTTCTCAGAGTCCTCCTTGAAGATGGGACCAGTGCCTGTGGCCAGAGCTACTTCCCCCTGCTCTGAATAATACAGCATTTGTAAGAATAAAGCTAGTGGCTCAATGCAGACTCACATTCTGCGATGCTGCTGAGTGCCGGGCATGTGCTCATGTGTGTGAGCTTCAGGGGATGCCAAGAGAGAAAGACTCACACATAACAGGGGAGGTCAGTGAACAGACGAGGATGAGACACTCACAAGGGCTGGGAGAGTGCCCTGGAGCCAAGAAGAGGAGGTGTCTGCCATGGCTCAGCACATGGAGGGAGCAGAGTGGGTACCGGGAAAGACTCCACAGGGAAGGGACTTGTCCGCCAGGTCTGCAGGGAAGCCAGGCCAAGGCGGTGTCGGGTGTCCCAGGCTGAAGCACAGTGTGGGAAAAGGCACAGGGCCCGAAGCAGGCCTTCTTCTCCTCTTGAGCGACCACTTCCTACCCATCCTGATGCCCTTGATCCTGACATCAGATCCTCTAGGAAGCCCCTCCTGACTTTCCAAGCCCTGACCTCCGGCCTCAGGCTGGTCTGGAGACCCTGCACCTGCACATCCGGAACCCGGGCACTCACCTCGATCCATTCCCATGAGGGTTTCTTTTCCGCCTTGCTCCCCACCGAAGCATCAGCTCCTCTTGCTAGCGTCTTCACAGCCAAGATCTAAAGCGGAACCTGGCTTAGTGGCCGTTTGAGTGCGTGTGTGGACTGGATGCATGGGGCAGCCTGGTGTGCTCTGGGAGGAGATGCTGGCGAGGACGGTGGGGAGATAGGCGTGCTGGGCAATGAGGCCCACCCACTGCCATCCTGCGGAGCCTGGGCTCAACTCCAGGGGCAGTGGACAGTCATGGGTCACACGTGTGAAGGAGGTGGATGGGAAGCACGCTGGCAGCTGTTAGGGGATGAAGATTAGGGTCAGGGTGAGACAGGGAAACTCATTAGGAAGCCTGGGAATGGCCCAAGTGAGAGATCTGGGCTTGAAGCAAGGTTGTAGCAACTGGGAGGGAACAATGTCAGAAAAAGGAAAATGGGTTGCAATTACATTTTGATGGTTGGAGGACATGGGAGGGGGGATCAGATGATAAATTCTAGGTTTTCGTTGATTTTCAGGTAATAGGATTTCCAAATAGAAGAATGGATGAAGTTTCCCAGGGAGGGTGCGGAGCGTGGAGAGAGACGGTCCACAGGTGGGAGGGTCACCACATGCCCCCACCTCGCTCCCTCGCAGGCGCACAGGCCCTTTCTCAGGAAAGCCCCACACTTGGCTTAAGGCTCTGCTGTTGCTGCCTTGAACTCTTAATGAGTTTTGAACAAGGCGCCCCGCATTTTCATTTTGCATTAAGCCCCCCAAATTATGTGCCTGCCCTGCTCACCACGTCCCACTGCGCTCCCAGGGCAGGGCCCGCCCCACCCAGACGCAGACTGTCGCGGCTTCATCAGACCCTCCATCCTCCCACGATGAAGATCAAAGCAGGCTCTTTGCTGATGGGCTCGCGTTCGTTCCGCCCAGCCTGATGACACAACTTTGGCTTTCTTCTGTTAGCTTCTTTGTCCGGAAAGCACCGCTGATATTGTCAGGTTACACACTGAATGGAGGGTGACTAATAAGCGATGCCAGTTGCCTGTGGACTCGAGAGAATCCAGATACCAAGCGACGCCTCACGTTGCGCCACCCGCAGGACCCGTCGGCCAGGCTGGGCTCGGCTCATACCTGGTCCTCAGTTTCTCCCTCTGCACAGCAGGCTTGAAGCCCCAGAACTTTTCCCTGAACTCTCCCGGCCTAGACGACAGATGTAGTCGGGAAAGAGCTTCTAACAACCCAGAGTGTGTGGTCAGCCTGCCAGAGACTCTAAACGCTGCCCAACACTCTTCCCGCCCGTGGTTATCAATGCGCCAAAGAGCAGAAGCTCAGAGAATTGTGATTCTTTCGCTTGGGAAAGAAAATACTTCACAGCGATTAGATTACAGTCTTTCAATTCAGAAAGGGAGATTAGGCAGAAGGTAAAGAGCTGTTCCTCTTTTCCTGTAAAAACTAAATGGCCTTAAACAAAAAAGTGGTCTTAAACATCAACAGAGAAGATTTTGATTCGACCTGAGGAAGAATTTCACCATAGCACAGATTTGGAGATGTCTGCAGGCGAAACCAAACTGCAGAACAGTTCACCTGCGTGGGAACCTGGCCTGCGCAGAATAAAAAAGCCTCTTTGTGTTTCCTGAAGTCCTGATCACAGCACTTTGTGTGGAAACCTCTCTCCATCAAGACTTACAAGGAATAAGTAAATGCCTGAAGCTATGCGTGAAAGTTTTTATGGAATATCCCAAGGGATACCAGCTGCATTTCCAAGAATTAGGCTATCCAAATAAAAATCCTGGTTCAAACTCCCCTACCTAATTTTAAAAGGAAATTTTCCATTTCTGAATCCAGAGTCTTGGTGGCCTTATGCAAGCCCTGGTTCTGCACAGTCACAATTCTTAAAAAACTGTGATCCCAAAGGAGACTTGGGGATGGAGTAAGACCCTATCTGTAACCCAAAACCTGTGAGGAAACTTTAGTTCTATTGCCAAACAGAGTCTCCACTGAAAGAGAACAAAAACATGCAAAGAGGTTTTGCAATAACCAAGCCTTCTGTTAAAAAAAAAAAAAAACGAAAAAAAAAAAAAAAAAAAAAAACCTGCAGGGACCTCAGGAAACTCCAAAGAAGGAAGGCTAAAAACAGATTTATTTAACCTAGAACACAGAGGCTTCAGCAAGGAAAATAGAGCGTGATGCTGGAATCTATTCCCTTCCACATTCTCTTTTCTTTCTTTCTTTCTTTTTCTTTCTTTCTTTCTTTTTTTTTTTTTTTTTTTTTTTTTTTTTTTTGCGTGTGTGTGTGTGTGAGACAGGTCTTGTTCTGTCACCAAAGCTGGAATACAGTGGCATGATCTCAGCTCACTGCAGCCTCTGCCTCCCAGGTTCAAGTGATTCTCCTGCCTCAGCCTCCAGAGTAGCTGGGATTACTGGTGCCAGCCACCATGCCCGGCTAATTTTTGTATTTTTAGTAGAGATGGGGTTTTTGCCATGTTGGCTAGGCTGGTCTCGAACTCCTGACCTCAGGTGATCCACCCACCTTGGCCTCCCAAAGTGCTGGAATTACAGGCGTGAGCCACTGCGGCTGGCCTCACATTCTCATTTCTAACCCTGCATCAGCCCTCTGGAAGGGAAGGTAGTAGGTGTGAAAAGAGAATGGCCCCCCCATAAGTAGTGATTCTATCTTTATTGCTATGGCCTCTTTTGCTGTAATGAACACAAAGATATATGGATGGCATTTAGAGAATGAAAAATCAGAGATTTATTTCAATGCATATTTCATTCATTCATGCATTCGCCAGTCTTACAATTATTTGTTGAGCATCTGCTGTGGACCAGGCCCTGTGCTGTTTACCAGGCACCGAGAGCCTCCTGCCTTCAGGCAGGCTGTTTAATACAACATACAAACAGGCGTGGTACACATCTTGGAACTAAAATCACTCCAATATTGGCTGTGGGATCCAAGAGAGGACAAAAAAGGTGCACGATGCATTTGTAATTGCATAAGCACCATTATTGTGGCTCTTTCTGACAGGGGAGAACTTCAGCTGTGATTATCAGGCCTTGATAGGAACCGCATCCTCCACTTGCTGTCTTACGTCTGATGGTTGTGAGAATTCCATGGTCCAGCCTCTGGCTGCCTACATTTCAAATCTCTGTCTCTTCCACTTCCACCATCCTTCTAGGGCCCAGCACTGTGGGATGCATCCCATGGCAATAAGGTCACAGGTCCAGAGGACCCTTGTGCTGCGGTGCCCGTGGGTGGTAGGAGCATTCCTGAGGCTGTGTCTACACTGGAGCTTCTAGAGATCATATAAATGTACGAGGAGAGACTGCAGACTGCCTCAGGACCATAGTATGGCTGACAGCAGTTGAAACATTAGTTTTGCAAATTTTACAAAAACATATGACTATGTGAATACTCTGTGGGGCTCCTCCCAGAGCCTAGGGAGGGGTCCCACAAAAGAAGATCTGAAACAGAAGCCAAGTTTTCATCACGATGGCTGCATAGCCAGGTGGAGGGATGGTGAATGTCTACCCTATTTCCAGCCCTTTGAATATTCTTTTTTTTTTTTTTTTCCCAAGACGGAGTCTTGCTCTGTCACCCAGGCTGGAGTGCAGTGGCATGGTCTCAGCTCACTGCAACCTCACCTCCCGGGTTCAAGCGATTTTCCTGCCTCAGCCTCCCAAGTAGCCGGGATTACAGGTGTGTGTCACCACACTCAGCTACTTTTTGTATTTTTAGTAGAGACGGGGTTTCACCATGTTGGCCAGGCTGGTCTTGAACTCCTGACCTTGTGATCCGCCCACCTCAGCCTCCCAAAGTGCTGGGATTACAGGTGTGAGCCACCGCGCCTGGCCCTTTGAATATTCTTGACCACATTTTCCCTGTGGAGGACAAAGGTCATCTCACCTGCCCAGATGCTGCACCCTAGAGGCTGCCTCGGGTCTGTGTTCAAGAGCCATAAACACAGACTGAAGTCAGGCTTCTTTATAATGGCCGATAAAAGATGTGGTGACCTAAATCCTTTCTTCTGTGTTTCCATCTGACCTCCTGCCTTCCTCTCTGTGGCCCAACTCAATTTCCCTACATGGGAATTTTTCTCTGCCAGACTTCTCATGCTGTCCATTTTGTATTTCCAACTCTCATCGCCTTTAATTCTCTTGTAAATCTCATTCTTGTTTTTCCAGTCTTCACTTTTTTAAATTTTTAATTTAATGTAATTTAATTTTTTTGAGATAGGGTCTTGCTCCGTCATCTGGGCTGGAGTGCAGTGGCACAATCTTGGCTCACTGAAGCCTCAATCTCTCAGGCTCTAGCGATCCTCCTGCCTCAGCCCCACAAGTAGCTAGGACCACAGGTGTGTGCCGCTGCCACCACACCCAGCTAGTTTTACAGTTTTTCTTGCACAGACAGGGTCTCACTATGTTGCCCAGGCTAGTCTCAAACTCCTGGGCTCAAGCAATCCTCCCCTCCTTGGCCTCCCAAAGTGCTGGGATTACAGGCTTGAGCCACCGCGCCTGGTCCATTCTTCGCTCTTTAAAGCCTAGGTTGCTCTGCCAGTGCTCTCCTCTCCCATTTTCTTTTTCCTTTGTCCTCCTCCTCCTTCTCACTCACCCTCCCTCTCTCTCTTCCTTTCACCATCTCTCTACATCCAGATCTCTGCCCTCTCTCTTTTCCGCTGCTCTCTGTTTTTGCTTTTTCTCCGTAACTACTGCCTTCGTGTCTTCTGTTTCTTCTACTCCTTTTTTTGTTTGTTTGAGACAGAGTTTCACTCTTGTTGCCCAGGCTCAAGTGCTATGGCACAATCTCGGCTCACTGAAACCTCTGCTTCCCGGGTTCGAGCGATTCTCCTGCCTCAGCCTCCTGAGTAGCTGGGATTACAGGCATGCACCACCATGCCCAGCTAATTTTTGTATTTTTAGTAGAAATGGGGTTTCACCACGTTGGCCAGGCTAGTCTCAAACTCCTGACCTCAGGTGATCCACCCGCCTCGGCCTCCCAAAGTGCTGAGATTACACGCGTGAGCCACCGTGCCCGGCCTGTTTCTTCTACTCCTGACCCTCTCTCCCCATCTTTGCTCGGTACCGCCACTTCTTTCCAAATACAACCCAACTTCCACTCTGGCCTAACATATTTTTCCCTGGTACTCATTCATTGTTTAAGAATGTCTTTGATCTTGGGACACAGCCTTAATGCAAGTTGTTTTTCCTTCCTGTGGTAAGAAAGCTTCAGGAGCCTTTTCCCTTCAGGCTGCAGAACTGGGAGCAAGCACAGCTGATGCCAGCTCCTCCTGCTCCTGTTTTCACAGGTCCTGCCCTCCAGGGGAATGTTCCAGGTACATTCTGCGTCTCAGAGATAATGCAAAAGCCAAAGAGACAAGCACAAGTCAGTTATTTGGGGACCCCTCTAACTGTGTTTTCTTTAGTTCCATCTGTTTCTGTCTGACTTTCTACAGAAACCTACACCCTGTATGCTTTATCACTCAGGGAATAAGTTCTGCTGGAACGTCCTCGATGAGCTATGCATAGCAAAGTTAAGTCTTGTTCCTCAAATAGCTCATTCTCCAGGATCTGTGGACACAAAACAATCACCGTAAACAAGCAGGGGCATGTAAGCAACCAGACGCACAATGCTGACCACAGAGGCGCCTGGTCTGAGAAGGGAGAGCCCAGGGCAAGCCGGAGGAATCACCGACACCTTGCAGGAGAGGAGGGGAGAGGAGGGCTGGGCTGCGCTTGAAGGGAGGAGGGTGCCGTCCACTTCATACCCACAGACCCGCTCTTTTGTCCTAAAACAGGGATGATGTATTTCATATGGAGGAGTTCTGTGTCTCCCCATGTCTCTAGCAAAATTGACTTTTTCTAAGCTGCCCTTGAGAGGATTCAAGTAGCAAAAGTTTCTGTGGTCTTATCACCACCATTAAAGTCATGATTTCAAAGACGAGAGCCGCATGGAAGGAAGTTCTTATCACCTGACCGTAGGGTACAGACACCCCGAGGGGAAGGCCCTGTTGCTGTAGCTGCTGGTTCAGTCGCTTGGAAGGAAGTTCCTATCGCCCGACCCTGGGGAATGGACACCCCAAGGGGAAGGCCCTGTTGCTTTAGTTGCTGGTTCGGTCACGTAGCACAGCCCACTGTCTCATTAGGCTGAAAATATTAGACAAATGAAATCAATTTGAGCAGAATTAATGCCACAGATCGCAGAATTTGGAAGGCCATGAAAGAGAGATCTTCTCCCCAGGGTGAAAGTCAAGGTCTTTCTTGAGGGCAGTTTACCCCAAGAGCCAAGGATTAAAAGTGTGCCCATAATATCCTGCTTTCCGGTTGGTTCAATTTTAAGAACATTTAAGGTCCCGCCATGTGTTAAGAAGTGGGATGGGAGCTTGACCACTGTCTTGCACAACTCAAGGGCACCTTCACAGTATGTCTCATGTCTGTGGACAATGTCACAATATGTCTGCCTGGATGTGTGCTAGGCAAAGGTCCTCACATAGAAGACAGAAGATGCAAAAATAAATGGGTTTGTTGGGGTGTTTTGTTTTGTTTTGGTTTGTTTTTTTGTTTTTCAGAAAGTATCTCACTCTGTCACCCAGGCTGGAGTGCAATGGTGCAATCTCGGCTCACTGCAGATTCCGCCTCCCCAGGCTCAAGCCATCCTCCCACCTCAGCTCCCAGGCCTCCCCCGTCACCAGTAGCTGGGACTACAGGCGTATACCACCACTCCTGGCTAATTTTTGTATTTTTTGTAGAGCCAGGGTTTCACCATGTTGCTCAGGCGGGTCTGGAACTCCTGGACTCAAGTGATCTGCCCACCTCGGCCTCCTAAAATGCTAGGACCTCAGGCATGAGCCACTGCGCCCAGCTGGGGTTGTTGTTTGACGGGTAGACAGTTACCGTTTGGGATGATGAAATTCTGGAAATGGATGGTGGTGACAGTTCTAGTTTGATTTCATGTGACTTAGTGTTGAGACTAAGGCATTGAGACTATGGTACACTTAATGCCACCAAATTGTGTACCTAAAATGGTAAATTTTATGCTATATATTTACCTTGATCAAAATAAACAAAAACAAATGAGAAAAGTCCTTGAACCCAAGAAACTCACAGACCCAGGTGATAAAGGGTGTAAAATAAAATAAGGGCAATGTATAAATAGGCATCCGCCACCCTAAGATCACAGAGTGGGGCATGACTGGTTGGCACGGGATGCTGAATTATCAGTAGATACTACACATTGGATGAACAGGGAGCTTTGAGAGGGATGGTAGTACACCGAGTCTGGAAGCAGGGCTAAGGGTTCATTGGCTGAATAGACCCTAGTATCCTCTGGAATATCCTTAGAAAAGCTTGGACCCTGGCTCTCTTGGTCAAGAAGACTCCATCCACATGGATAGGGTGGATTTGGAAGGGAATACCACACAAGTAGGAAGAAAAGACACTTCTAAAACCAGAAGACTGTCTGCTGGCCAAGGAAGGGTGGAAGACACAGAGAGAAGACCGGAGGTGGCCCTGGCAGGGTGAGAGCTCCTACAGCGGTTCTTCTAGAGGCCAGCCCAGCGGTGGATTGGGAGTCATGCATGGGCAGGGAAAAGGACTTTAAAATTAAGTAATACCAAGGAAACCCTGTCCCTCCTTGACTCATCTTACAGGCCCCACTCCTTTCCTGCCATTGAGAAATTAGGGCTGTAAAACTGACTGATAACCTGGTTCTTGGGAGCTTGATTACAATCACCTGCTTTGGAGAACAATCACAGGCCTAAGAAGAGGGGAAAGGTTTCTAGTAAAGGGTATGGCAGACAACCAAGAATTTTTCTTCTCCTTTCAGGTGAATCTTTTAACCTAATATCCACATTTTTCTAACCAGAAATGAAATTGCATGGTGAAAACATTACTGTTATACTAGGGGAGCAAGAGGACAGAACATTTGAAATTGGAACATTGCTAAAAAGTCCAAATTTGTTACATCCCAATTATACTCCCAGGCTTCCAGAAATATCTGGAGAACAGCAATTTATGGAGAGTTCTGTCCACAGACACAATATGTTTCAGACTTCTGTCTGCTCCTCAGTGAAAGAATCACAGAGGCTTAAAAGCAAATAGTCGCAAGGGACCCAAGAGATAAAAGAGTCCAGCTTCCTCACTGTAATAGAAACACCACCATACCGTGTGCACACTGCTTGGGCATTTAATAAATGCTGGCTTTGGATTGTTTAATACAATAACTCTATAAAGTGGGCATTTTATTATTTCCATTTTATAGATTTTAGAAATGAGGCTCAATTAGATAAAATGAGATGCAGTGCCTGGGTCACATTGCTAGAAAATGAGAGCCCAGTTTTTAAACTTGTATCTTATGACACACTACCCACTGCTCTTTCCATTTAAAAAAAAAAACTTTCTGATCATAAAAGGTAGAATTCTTAACTTTAGATAATTCAGAAGAGGATAAGGAGGAAAATAAAGGGCAGTTAACATAAAATTGGAATCACACTATACACACATTTTATAATTTATATTTTTATATAATATATCATGAACATTTTCCCATACTTCAAAATATATACACTAAGATAGACTATATTCAGGGCCACAAAACAAACCTCAACATATTCAAAAGAATTCACATCTTATAGCGTGTGTTCTCCAATCACATGGAATCAAACTAGAAATCAATAACAGAGAAATGATAGGAAAATCTCATAACACTTGAAAACTAAATAGCACACTTCTAAATAACCCAGAGGTCAAAGAGGAAGTCTCCAGATAATTTTTTAATACATTGAACTGAATGAAAATGAAAATTCAACATATCAAAATTTGTGGCACTCAGCTAAAGCAGTGCTGAGGGGAAAATTCATAGCACTAAATGAATATATTAGAAAAAGGAAAAATTCAAATAAATAATCTAAGCTTCCACCTCAAGAACCTAAAAAAAAAGTAAATCCAAAGAAAGCAGAAATAAAGAAATAAAAACCAAACTCCATGAAATTGAAAACAGAAAAAAATAGAGAAAATCAATCAAGAACTAGTTTTTTTATAAGATCAATAAAATTGGTAAACTTCTAGTAAGACTGACAAAGGAAAAAAGAGGAAAGACATAAATTACAAATATCAGAAATAAAACAAGGATATTACCATAGACCCTACAGATATCAAAAGGATACTCATGGAATGCCACAAAAACTTTATCCACGTAAATTTTGACAACTTAGATGAAATAGACCAATTCCTTGAAAAATGTAAACTATAACAACTCATCAAATATAAAGTAGATGATTTGAATAGCCCTGTAACTATTAAAGAAATTTAATTGGTAATTTTTAACCTCCTAAAAAAGGAAATCTCCAGGCCCAGATGGTTTCCCTGGAGAATTCTGGATTGCTTCCAGGTTTGGGCTATTACAAATAAAACTACTACACACGCTGTGTACAGGTTTTTAAACAAATACGAACTAAGGATAAGTGCAACAACCTAGATGGGTCTTAGTGAATTATGTAGAGTGAAAAAAGCCAGTCCCAAAAGGTTTCACACTATATGATTCCATTTATAACAATCTTGAAATAACAAAATCATAGAGATGAAGAATAGGTTAGCTGTTTCCTGGGATTAAGGTGAGAATGGCACAGGAAGAAAGGGGGCATGGCTATAAAAGGGCAACACAAGTGATCCTTGCAGTGGTGAAAATGTTTTGTTGCTTGACCATATTAAGGTCAATGTCCTGGTTGCTGTCTTGTACTACAGTTTTGCAAACTGCTCCCATCTGGGGAAATTGGTGAAAGATACACAGGATCTCTGCATTCTTTCTTAAAATTCTTTCTTAAAAGATAAAACATTTAATTTTTAAAAATTAAAATAAAATGGAAATCACACTAAACATACATTTGTATTTTATAATTTTTAATATTTCATGAGCATTTTCTCATTGTCTAAAATATTTTTATGTATTATATTTTTTGATTTCTTTATACATCAACTATGGGTGTACTATAATTATTTGATTATTTCTTTTCCTTATGAGCTTGGATTGTTTCAAATTTTTTTATTATTATGAAAACTGATGAGAAGAACTTCCTGGTGCCCTTTTTTTTTAGAAAAAAAATTGTTGAGATATAAGTCACATACCATGTAATTCACTCATTTAAAGTGTACAGTTTAACATTTTAAAAATAATTCAGTGTTGTACAACCCTCACCACAATCTAATTTTAGAATATTTTTGTTCTGCTAAAATAAACATCATACCCATTAGCAATGAATCTGCATCTTCCCAACTTTCCTACTCCAAACTTAAGCAACCCTACTCTACTTTTAGCTTTACAAATTTGCCTATTCTGGATTTATATAAACAAAGTCATAGGATGTGGTCTTTTGTGCCTGGCTTCTTTCACTTAGCGCAGTGTTTTCAAGGGTCATCCATGTTGCAGCAAATATCACTACTTCATACCTTTTTACAGCAGAATAATATTCTACTATATGGATAGATCATATTTTATTTTTTCAATAGTGGTGAATATTGGGGTCTTTTCACTTTTCAGTTAGTATAAATAGTACTGCTATAAACACATACAATTTTTCTGTGTGGACACATGTTTTCATTTTCTTGGGCTTACACCAAGAGTGGAATTGCTGGGTCATACGGTAACCCTATGTGTAACTTTTTAACCTGGTGCCCATTTCTGATTATTTCTTGAAGACACTGTCCTAGAAATGAAAATAATTGGTCAAAGCCCATAGTCACCTTTATGGTTTCTGATTCATATTGCCAAATTACACATCTAAAAATTGTGCCAACTTCTGCTCTCACTGTCGTGCAGGACAATGCTTTCATGGTACAATTATGAACTCCAGAAGGTCTCCATGATCTGATCCTCTGTCATCTGATCTCAGTTTGGGTCCACGGGACTCACGAGGCAGCCCCCTCCTTTTCTAGATCAGGCTTTGTGAAGCAGCCAGAAGACCTGGTTCTCCCAAGCCTGCTACTTGCTGGCCATGTAACCTTGAGCAAGTTATTTCCTCCTCTGCAAAAGGAAGACAATACCCTCCTGCCTACTTCACTCAGACGTTCTGAAGATCGATGTAGCAATGTGGTGTAGACATGCTTTTGTAACGTGGACACACCCAGACAGGAATAAGTCTTGTCCAGGGAATATTTTTTGACAAACACTGCTTAACTGGTTTGTCCTCTGAGTGTCACAACTTTTGGCAGAACTTGGTAGTTGGAGGTCAGTGGTTGGCTGGTTCAGGTATATCTACTTTCACAGAACTTGAGAACAAACAAATTTTTTTCTCATATGAATTTGACTGCACTGCATGATTTTGATGTGTTATTTATTAAGCTGAACAACACACACACACCCACGTACATGTGCACACACACTACCACCAGTGGCCAAGTCAAGGAGGGACAAAGAAGGTGAAGGTGCCCTTGAATCTATTCTTCAACAGTGAAGTTTTTGTTCTTACTGATAAAAGTTCTTCCTTCCATTGAAATGAAACTCTCCCCCCACAGAAATTCTCATCAGTAGTCTTTGCTTGGCCCTCAGTCCTGTGGCCATGCCCCATTGCAAAGTTTTTCTCTAAGACTCTTCCCACAAGCCCAGTGCCTTCCTCTGCAACCAGGAGGACAGTGAGGTCCCCCTGGCCAGCTGATGGCTCCACACCGAGCCCAAGGTGACCTGTGCCTGTTCCCTGGTCAGCATGCTGGCATCTGTACTACTGGGCATTTTTCCATTGGTTCATGGGAGGTCCTGCCTAACTGTGGGATGATGAGAAGACAGAAGAGGCCACTATGACCAGAGGTGGGCCAGTGACCTGGAATCAGGGCTGGCTGTGGCCTCACTGGGTGCTGATGAGCATCTGGCCTGGGGCCTGGGAATGAGATCCCACCAGATGGTCCCCAAGGAGCTGTGTGTGTCCAGTGGAGAAGGCCTGTATCTTACTCAACTTTCTTTGCTAGACCCAGAAGGTTTATTTGAGAGGGGAAGATATTTAATTAAGTAAGATTAGCTGCTAGGTAGTAACTGCCTCCTATGTTCCAGCACTGTACATAGGTCATCTTTAATCCTCACAGCAATCTCCCAAGTAGGCATCACCACCCATTTCTCAGATAAAGAAACTGAGACTCTGCGAGGTTAAGTCACTTGCCTGAGCCCATAAAGCTAGGGCCAGCAGAGCAGCCTTTGCAGCCAGGTCTCACAGACTCCAAAGCCCACACTTTCCTCATTTCATGATCACACTGTCTGTGAGCTGGAGCCCCACACCCAGGGCTGCCCTAGCCCGCTGTGCAAAGGGTCAGCCCAGCAAGAATGGAGGTTCCCGGAGCCAGCAAGGACCCTGCCCAGGGCTGGGTTCAAAGCACCAGCTTTAACAGCTGTCGGAGGGAAAGCAGTGAGCAAATGTGCTCAGTGTCTCAGTCCCAAAAAGGTGGATATGGCCGCGCCCACCTGAGCCGGAGTCCCTCTCCCAGTCCCTGGGTGGCTTGGGCCTTCTTGTGTTTGTTCTGGCTTCTCGCCTTCTCCCCTCTTCCCCTGCAAAGCCCTTTGTGTAATGGGTTTTCCCTTCCAACTCAATCTCAAGAATTGTTTAGCCAAGGAGGGCCCTTGAGTCTCTCCCTGGGTGTTTGTTTTTGTTGAGAGGAAGCGCTAGTTATGAGTCAGTCCACCAGCAGCATATCCGAGAGCAGGCCCAACGCGGTGGGGCGCGTGCTCTGCTGATCCGCAGCCATCCGGGTTCAGCCCAGCCTGGCCAGCAGCTGCGGGTCACCAGCCAGAGCCATCACAGGGCGGGTTGTTAGGAGCAGTGTGTGGCAGGCATGACCCTCCTGGTGGGGGACAGAGGGGACGGTCCCCAGGGAAGGGAGCCACAAGGCAGACCACAAGCTGGACAGAAGTCAGGAACGCAGGCTGAGGAAAACCATTGCAGTTCTGTTCTAGGAGCCCAGAATGCCAGAGCCAAGGACACCCTCCTGAAAGACAGTGCAGCCAACAGAGGCATGGCCCCACCTGGGCAGGAGGGTGCCGGCCGGCTGAAGGTACCAGTGGGCTGATCTACCTGAGGGACTTGGCAAGGCTAGAGGAGTCAAGGCCAACCTGCAGCTCTGGGCGTCCTAGAGCACATGCCAAAGGCTGTCCAACCATTCGGAAGACCAAGCAGCACAGCGTTGTCACCACACACAAAGTCACAGAAGCCTCCCTCTCCAGGTGTGTGATGACCATGAGGACTGGCCCTGGTTCTTCCTGCGGGCCTCACCTGTGTAAAGAATGTCTGTCTTCTATCTACCACCCTCCCAAGGATGCAGTTGAAGGAAAAAGAAGCATAAGACAGATTTTCTGCCCTCCAGAGATGTGGACTAAAAATCGGAATGAAAACATGGATGCACAAAACAGACAACAAGGCAACGCTTTCCATTGTTAACGGTGTGAGTTACAGAGCAGCAGTGTGGGTCAGCGCCTGCTCAGCCAGAGCTGAGTCTTCTCCTGCACTTCAGCACCAGCCCTGCCCACACAAAGTCCTGGGCATCGCACTGCACCAGGAGCTCTGACATGAACAATGCCCAGTGATATTTCACAATCACCCCGCCCTTTTATGTTTTGTCTGTCCTTCTGGGCAGGTGCGGGCTGGGCACTGCCCTGCCTGCTTTTAACAGATAAAGAAATGAGCCCAAAGGAAGAAAAGCTCATAAATGTTCACAACGTCACCTGCTGAGTCAAGGCACAAACATCTGACATTCTCCCCTCTCTGGCTGCCAAAGGAGAGAACTGGGCCTGGCTGGTTAGTTCCACCCCATGAGAGCCCCCCAGAAATGCCCACCTAAGAGACTGGTTCCCCTGCCCATGAGCCTGCCCCCACCTAGCCCAGCCACCTAAGAACACACAGGCTTTCTCCAGCAGCCAGTGTGTCTGGGAGGAGGAGACCTTTTCTTTTTGGCCCACTTGCTGGTTTCTCTCAGCACAGCTGGGCTCAGTGACACTGGATTTTGGGCATTACAAGCACGAGTCTTAGAAGCAAAGGCATAATTGCCCCCCACAGGCATTGTTCCATCTGCTGGAAGAATGAATCAATAATATTGTATTAACCCCAGAAGCAGGGCTGCCATGTTCAGTCTGACAGGTTGCACACTGCACAACTGCAGGGGGGCACCAGCCACATAGTGACCTGCCTGGAAGAATTTATAATTTAATGAGGACAAACAAATCTTAGCATAGATCTCACTGTACTAGAGACAAAAGGGTTAGAATCAAGCAGACTTTTCCACAGCTAGCACTAGGGATGACAGTAAATGACAACAGGCTGGGTACGAGGGGCTTGGTCCCAAGCCCAGCTCAGACAGCAACTAACTGACCTTTGGCAAGAGCCTCGGTCACATCACTTCCAACAAGAAAAAGCACAGGAAAGCCCTGCGGGAGCGTCTAACTTAAGTACTAGGTAGCATCATTTTAAAAGTGAAACTCTGGCTGGACTAACAGCCCTTAGCCGTTCCTTCTGGCTGGGCCGTGGTGCAATTTTTTGATATAACAGGTGGGATCACCAGGGGCAGAGGACTCAGAGATGGGGGAGAGCAGGAAGAGTGAGCTGGGTGAGCCCTGCCCAAACACTCCAAGAACACGGAAGCAAACACACGCCCTTCGACCACTTCGCTTATTTTTTTCACCCCCTCTCAGGCCGGAACAAAGAGCCTTTTTGTGAGTTTAATGGTGTCTGACTTACTCAGCAAACTTTTCTGTCTCCTTTGCTGTGAGGAAAAAAACAAAGCTCTCTGTCCGGTTTGTTAGGTTCCTTTGAAGAGCTTGCTGCTTGGGTTTAGGCAAACAGGAACCCAGCTGGCACCGCCCTGGTCAGGGCGCTTTCTGGGAGACTTTCCCCAGGCCTCGTCTGGATCCGGGCTGAAGAGGGGGTGGAGAGAGGTGGGCACAGAACAAAGGGTGAGGGCACCTAGCAACCTTCCAGGACAGGTGTTACAGCTGATGCTCCTGAGCAAGCTCTACCTAAAGGAGTTCATTGAATCCTCACCACCCCTCTGAGGGAAAGGACCATGTCCCCACTGCCTGGATCAGGAAACGCAGACTGGCCGAGGTCAAGGACTTTGCCAGCGGTCACACAGACAGGGAGTCCACCCCCAACACCTTTACTCTTTCCACTCACTGAGTCCACCCCCACCCCAGAGATCCCCCAGCCTTCGCTCATCCTTTCCTCATCCTCCCAGAACCCAGGATCTGCAGAGCAGGAAGTTCAATAGCCAGGCCTGATGTCGTTAGTCAGTCCTGGGGACAGGCATCCTTTCCTGTCCCCTGTGAGTTCAAATTCCAACTCAAGCAACATACAAACGCCAAACTCAGCTCACACCTCCGGCTCTGAGCTGCAGGGTCCACTTGTGGGGAAGGGGAGACAGCCCAGCTCCCTCCCTCCCTCTCCCTTATCCACACACATACACACACTTGCACACACACAAAGACACACATGCACATGCATGCACACACACACTCGTGCACACACACACGCCTCCTGGCATGCCACAGGGAGATAACGCACACAGCCACCTCCCAGTGACCACAGAGCTCTATCTCAGGGTGACGTCACCTCATACACAGCTCCCAGTTCACTCTAAGTGATTCATCGAGGGCGTAAACTCTGAGGGCGATGGAGGCATCAGGGTACAGAGATGAAGTCAGTTTAGTGCCATTTCCTATCCATGGGCTCCCCAGAAGTAAGAGAGAAAGGAAGGAAGGCCTTTTAAAAGTCCACATTGGAGCCAGTGACTTGTGGCTTTCCCTTGCAGAAAAGAAACTTTGGCAACAGCTAGTAGTCATCTTCTCCTGAGCCCGCCAATCTCACAGCCCCCTCCACACACACACACACACACACACACACACACACACACACACACACAGAGCTGCAGCTGCAGCACTGCCTAGCTGGCCCCCAAACACTGTAGCGCTGAACAGACCAAAGATGGAGACACTAACTGTGATCATCATAACCAGTGTGCACTGAACACTCAGCACGTGCCAGGCTATGCTAAGCCCTTTCCATGTGAAAAAGAAATTTCCACTTGATTCCCACGACAACTCAACAAGGTAGGAACTGTTAAAAGAAAACTTTAGACGAATTAAATTTAAATTAATCTAGCAATCAATTGAGTTTCATTTGAAATGAATTGAGTTTAATTAAGCAAAGGATTCATGAAGTGGGCAGCCCTCAGACCAGAAGAGGTTCCAAGGGCTGAGCTCCACTCCACAGTGTGGGCAGGGAGTGTTTATAGACAGAAAATGGAAGTGAGCTGCAGAGACAGCTCATTGGTCACAGCTTGGTTTGCCGTGTTTGAACATGGACTACTCAGCAGCCACCTGCGATTTATAGAAGCTCAGCTGCTGTGATTGGCTAAGACTCGGCTATTTCTTACAAAAGTACACTCCTAAGCTAGGCCTGCAGTTCATTTGCTGCTAAGGTCGCAGTTGGACTCAAAGTGCAGAGGCATCCTCAGACCAAATTTGGTTTAATTTAACCCTACCATTATTCCCATTTTTCAGATGAGGAAAGTAAGGCTCAGAGCTCGGGTAACGCCTCCAAACTCCCACATCTAGTGAGTGGCAGAAGAGCCGTGGCCAAAACCTGCGCTTTCTGGCCGGAAAGCCCAAGCTCTTCCCCGCTCCAGCGTGGAGCTTCTCTGCCATTTGAACCACCTGTGCTCAGATGACTCTCAGCCCTATCCTGCTCTGCTTGGCCGGGCCCAGAGCCCATCCCATTCCATCTCCTCCATCCCCGCTTCCTTCCATGTTGTCCCCTGCAGCTTCTTGTCTGCACCACACTGTGGAGTCCAGCAAGGTGACTCAGGGAAGGGACAGGAGATGCAGCTACCTCCTGGTTCCTGGAAGCTTCTGACATCCCAGGTGGCCTCTGAAGATCTGCAGAATAGGGTGGGTGTGGGAGCCCAGGTGGAGAGAGGCTGTGGTCAGCTGCATAGTATCACCCCCAAAGATGCCCTCCTCCTGATCCCTGGAGCTTGGGAACACGTGACCTCCCTTTGTGGGGGTGATTGGGTTATGAACCTGGATCTGGAGAGATGACCCTGGATTATTGGGTGCACCAGGAGTCATCCCAGAAGCGCCTTATAAGAGGCAGGCAGGACTCAGCGCTGATGGTAAGAGTCAGTGGAGAAAGAAGTACCTTATAAGAGGCAGGCAGGACTCAGCGCTGATGGTAGGAGTCAGTGGAGAAAGAAGCAATGCCAGGAAGGGGCCTCAAGAAGCCAAAGAGGCAGAAAGATTCTCCCCTGAAGGGTCCGGAAGGAACCAGCCCTTCCAGCACCTTGGTTTGGACTTCCGACCTGCAGGCTGCGGGAGCGACATTTGCGTGGTTTAAACCACTGTGTTTGTGGCAATTTGTTGCAGCCACCCCAGGAAACTAGTCCAGAGAGCACACCAGAACCTCGGGGACTTATTGGCGACTATGCTAGGCGGCTGGGGCGGCCTCAGCAAAATGCCCCAGGCTGCCGGCTTGACCAACAGAGACAGATGCACTCACAGTTACCAGCACTGGCAGGGCTGCTTCCTCCAAGGCCTCTGCCCTCAGCTTGCAGATGGCCGCCCCTTTGCTGCCTCCTTGCACGGCCAGTCCTCCAAGCCACCTGCCCCTGGAGTCACCCTCTGGGAGTCCTAATGTCTTCCTGTAAGGACACCCATCAGACTGGCTCAGGGCCCACTCACATGACCTCATTTTAACTTAATTACCTCGGCAAAGACCCTCTTTCCAAACACAGTCACAAACCAGGTGGAACTGGTTTGGGCTTGCCTGGAGAACTGGTTGGGGCAGGCCAGGTGAGAGGTGAAGGAGGGCAGGAGGGTCCCTGAGAGATGGCTCAGCCTAGGAGCAGAAGGACCAGGTCTGAGTGAATCTGTCAGGCCTGGGGTGACTCACCACATTTCTCTTCCAGGCCAGACCTCCGCCGCCGGCCTCATCTCTTAGGCCTAGTGGGGCCTCCAGAAGACAGAACCCCACAGCCTCATCTCTTAGGCCTAGTGGGGTCCCCAGAAGACAGGGGCTGACAGGTGGTCCTGCCTTACAGCAGAGGGGACCAGAAGGCCGCTGTGCAAGGGGCTCAGTGATTTTAACCTAAGCCCGTGTGCTTCACTGCTGGGAATCTGTAAATGACGGCTGGGGGGGGTCTGTGCAGGGACATTAGCAACAGAGACAGGGGCCAAGGAGATGTGGGTACATGCACCTGTCAGGGTCACCCAGGACTCCAGAGCCTGAAGGTCCCCAGCACCACCCAGGCTCTCTAAGGTGCACCTGGCCCAGCTCACATTCCCAAGCCAGCCAAGTGACTCAGAACGCCACCCCCCACCACAGCCTCCCCTCGTTGACCACAGCCTCCCCTCGTTGACCACAGCCTCCTGTCTCCACATGACATCGAAACTGTCTCTTCTCTCCCGGACAGGAGGGGAGGAATCTGCACAGACAAGGGCCAGGGTTCAGACAGAAGACAACGCCCACACCAGCCACTTGGATCCGGAAGATTCCTGTACACACTTGCATGGGTGTAAAATTACTAACCTGGTGGCTAAAGAGGTAAACAGGAGCTCTGAGGTGTCACCCCTGAGGCTGAGGAGGCAAAGGGAAAAGGTTGGGATTCTTCAAACGTGGAAACTTGGAGGTAGGGGCTGTGGGCCTGGGCCCCTAACCTTGAAGGAAGGGGTTCCAGCTGTAAAGTGTCTGAAGTGGGTGCAAGGAAGTTGCATTTGCAAGTGCTGGAGAAGCTGCAAAAAGAGTCAGCCTCTGCCACTGAAAGAAGCCGCTGCTGCGGGGGCGGGGGGTGCCCACAGGGAAGAAACAAACTCTAGGGTGTGGGTTTCTGCTCAGGCTGGGCAAGTATCTTTATGAAAGGGACCTGCATAAAGCGTCCATAAAACCTGCCCCTTTGCATCCTCTAAGCCAGCAGGTTCCCCATGCCTCACCCCTCTTTCCTGAACTCCTCTTCACCCCAATCCCCATTCCTAGCACCCCCTAAGGACAGGCTGTGCCCTGACAACCGTCCATCTCTACCCAGCTGAGACCTCTGTCCAGGGCGATGGTTGCAGGACCATGCAGACACGGAAGTTTGCTGAGATCCCACTCCAACTGCCTGCTCTCAGATTCTGAGTATTTCTCTAGCCCCCTCATAAAAACACAGGTCACTTTCACACTGAAAGTAAAAGATCCCTCCTTAAGTCCTTCATCCTGCATCTCCACCACCCGCCAGGCCCTGCCCTGGCAAAAAGTCTCACAGCCTTTTAAGGTGACCCGAGGACCCAACTCTGTCTCTTTCTCTCCTCTCTGTGCTTCAGCTTGTTTCCTGGCCACCAGCAAGGTCCCTCTTTGGTCTGGGAGGTAGGTGTCTGCAGGACACTGGGAGGATTTAAATACAATGATCAGTGTGGGGCCCCGAGAGGGCCTGAGACAGGATTTCCACTGATTGCCAACGTTCAATACGGACCCCTAGGAGACAAGCAGGAACTCCTGTTCTTATCCACACCTCTGCAGAACGGCGGAGACCACTCAGCCATGAGAGTGGCCTCTACCATTTCAGAGAGTAGCCGAGGAGGGAGCCATCCTCAGCCACTGCTGTGTGGTCGGTGGGCCTGGTTTCCACACGTCACAGAGCCTGGCACCAGACCGGCTAAGCATGGGCCTTCGTGGCACAGGCCCAGGAAGCTTCGAGTCCCAAGATTTAATTTTGTTTTCTGGGCCTTTTGAAAGAAAACGTTGTCATCAATGATTGCTCTCTAGCACGTGTCTGAAGAGCGGCCACCAAAAGGAGCCACTGCTGCAGGGGTGTCCACGCGCGCAGGGAAAGAACGGACTCCAGGGGCTGGGTTTGCTCTTGGAGAATGAGGTCGTCAAAACCTCACTTCGTGGGGAAGTCTGGAAAAGACAGTTTCCTGCTTTGTTCATCGTGGGCAGCAGGAAACGGTGCAGCCTCCAGTGAGAATGATTCCAGGAGGGTGTAATGGGGCGAGGTATGAAGGGGTAGGCAGTGTGGGGAACCACCCACCCGGGCCATGTAGCTGGCACCGTGGTAATTTAAGAGACCTGGAGAGATAGGGGAGGGATGGTCAGGGGACTTGGAAAAGGAGGAAAGAGGTGGGGAGGAGCCCAGCGGGAAGGAGATGCCTCATCACACCCTCCTCCCTCCCAGCCCCACAGGCTCCCACTGGCTGAGCCAGCCAGAGCCAGAGAGCACAAGGTCCCCCACGATGGCCCCCGCCGGTCAGTGTCCTGGGGGAGGAGGGGGTGCACCTGGAGGGGCAACTGGAAGGCACCCAGGACCCCCCAGAACCCCTTGGGCAGCCCCAGCTTGAACTGCAGGGAATCTGCCATTCAAGATGGCTGCTAGAAAATGGCGATTCTACCTCCCAGGTGACTCCAAGGGCTCTTACCCAGAGTCCTGAATAGCCACAGCCCAGCCCAGGAGTCCTAAAAGGAATTCTAGAGTGACCCGGATGGTTGTAAGGGCCTGAGAATGATCTGTGCCGTTCGGCAGAGACCCAAGTGCTCTCGGAGTGACCCAAACCTCAGGGCTGAGAACAGCTCGAGGTTCACCTGGACTTACCCCTGCTCCCCCACAGATCCTCGGTGCACCCTGGGATTTCCACAGCCACGTGGATTTTAAGCCAAATCCAGGATGATCCCATGACACACAGGTCTCAGCTCCCCATGGGGCATTTCTCTCCAAGACCACCTTCCTCCCCAGCTCACCGTCCACGTCTACAGAGCCATGCACCTCCGTGGCAGAGCTGAGTGCACGTGGCACAGAGTCAGGGCTGACATTGAGCAGGGCACCCTTGGTCTCCCCCAAGACCCATCAGAGTGTGCCTGGCACTGCCTTTCAATAAAAAGCCCAGGGTCTGAGCAGGGTGGGGCGTCTCCCCTCCCCCAGCCAGGATGAAGGTCAGAGCTGAATTTGCTCAGTTCAACACCAAAAACAGTCCTGAAGGAAAATGTGTTGAGCTTGGCTGTAAGCCAGGTCGTTAAACATGGATTCTGATCACAGATCGTTTCTGCTAATTAAACAAATATTTTTGCAGAGCTGTCTCGGTTTCCGCTGTTGCCGTTGGCCTAAGTTGCTGGCAAACCATTGGAGCCATGCCCCGAAAGTCAGCTCAGATCAGAGGAGAACACACAGAACTTTTGAAGGAACAGCTAAGACAGGTCTTCCAAACAGAGAGCTCTGTTCAGAGAGAAGGAACAGGCAAGAAAACACCGACACCTCCAGCCCTTACAGTCACCAAGCTGTACTTTCAGATTCCTGCTGACATACACACACACACACACACACACACACACACACACACACTCTCTCTCTCTCTCTCAATCCCTCCCTCTCTCAGAATGCATAGTCCTTCTCCCTGCCTCCATCTCTAAAGCTACACCTGCACACACAAATAAGCATTCTAGCAGTGCAATCACTATTCCAAGTTTGAAGACTCGTGTGTGTGTGTGTGTGTGTGTGTGTGTTTTCCTGCTGAAGTGGAGAGAAAAGGGCCAGACAGGATGGGCCCTGGGTCCCCATGTGACGTACCCCAGCAGGGGTCCTTTGCTCCTTCAAAAATGCAATTATCACAAACTTCCCTCGCCCTGGACCGCGGTTCCAGAGAAACGCCCATGCACATAATGTTTTGGTACAAGTTCAGGGTGTTCGTGAACTTTCTGAAGCCCGCCAAGAGCGCACTGCGAGTTCCAAGTTTAGAATACCAGTCCTGGGGAGTCAGGAAGCGTTTGCAGCCTCTGAACTGTCCGCAGAACTGTCAAGCACCCAAGGCTCGTCCTCTCTCAGCAGCTCCGAAGCCCCCTGGACTGCAAGCACTCAGCACCCAGAGCCTTCCCTGCCATGCCCCAGCCCTGAGGTGTCCTTTCACACTCCGGACCCCCCGGCCTTTCTCAGAAAACGCTCCGTGCTGCGCTGTGTTGTCCCCACTTGTTGCACAAGAGTAGTAGCGACAGCAATGCTGACCAGGCCTGGTTGCACACAGCCCCCTGCCCCAGGTCCAGGGCTGCACCAACACCCCATGCCCGTGGACACATCGGCAATCTTGAACCCCAGACATCTTGTCTATCACTTGAGACAAGGGGATTGCATCAGCAGCTTCACACTCTTTTCCTTTCTTTATGTTTTAGATTTGGAGTCTCTGTCACAGGCACAGGCTGTGGTGAGCCATGATTGTGCCATTGCACGCTGAACAGGCTGGAGTACAGTGGCATGATCATGGCTCACCACAGCCTTGAACTCCTGAGCTTAAGTCATGCTCCTGCCTCTCAGCCTCCTGAGTAGCCGGGACTACAGGCCTGCACCACCACACCAGGCTAATTTTTAGATTTTTTGTAGCAACAGGGTCTCGCTATGTTGCCCATGCTGGTCTCAAACTCCTGGGCTCAAGCAATCCTCCCACCTTGGCCTCCCGAAGTGCTGGGATTACAGGTGTGAGTCACGGCACCTGGCAACACTTTTTTTTAGCCAAGAGCCCTTCCGATGGACTCTCATGAGTTAAGCCAGTCTATAAAGCACAGCCAAGCAGCCAAGCTGCAGTTGAAGAGGGGATGGGAGAAGACCTCCCACCGACCCCCAGGTCTCTGAGAAGCACAGCTGGAAGACTCTGGCCCTCTAGCCCACAGCCTCCTAAATGCCCTGGGCTCAGCCATGTTGTGACACTGGGATTTCTCAGGGACCTCAGACCTACACATCTCCCTCCCAGCCAACCCACCACCCCCATGCCATGCCCAAAACCAACACTCTCCTTGACGAGTTATGCAATCCTTCTTTCCAGATCATTCTGTGGTATGTAATCTAACAAACTAGCCATGCTTAAGGGTTCGGAGGGAGTGACGGGGTTAATGAGCTGGTTCTACCCCTCAAGGAGGATTTTGCACTTGTAATGGGGATCCCCTTACTCCAAGGGAGAACTGCTCAAATATATTTTTTGCATGTTTTTAAATTTCAAAAGTAAGGTGTGATTTTGATAAGCAACGACTATACTATAGAAATACCTTGTTTAGGAGATGAAAATGTCCCCTGCCTCCCCCTCCAAATTCAAGCCTTTTAGGTAAAGCAATACTTGAATGACAGGCACGGTGGCATTTGTGTGCAAGGAGAAGACTGGGTACCACCAAGTCCCGGGGTGGACGCCGACTCCTTCCATGGTTCTGCCTGTGCCGACGCTGCCAGGAATGCTCCCCAGGGGCTCAGGAGTGAAGCTTCGTGGACTCTATGCCTGGCTTCCTGAGCAGGTACAATTCCGAGCACCTCGGGCTGCTCCTCTCTGGCTCCTGCCACCTTCCTGAGACAAAGGGTCAACCCTCAGCTGACCTCGCAAGGGTGGGAACAAAACCATAAAAGGATAAGACATCTCCTGATTAGAAAGTGATGACTGGGCTCGTGAATGCCAGACCATGTGGGGCTGAGTGACAAGCAAGAGCTTCCTCATCACCAGGGGTCAGGGGTCTCTTGGCCATGGGCAGCAGGCACTCATTCCTTCCACACTGTTCTAGGGGAGAAGAAAATAAAAACCAACGCTCCAAGGAGCTTTTGATTTATTAATAGTTGGGCTGGCAAGAAATAAGGACTTAGAGATTCAAAACTTCGATGGCTTCGAGTCCAGGCCACGCGGCTGTGTGGTCTCTGCTGGAACATCCTTGGTGGCGGAAGCTCTGCGCCTGGTGCTGGAGGAGGCCTGAGGATCAGGAGATCTTCCTCCAGGGAGCCCACTCCTCCACCCCTGTGGCATGCAGCACTCACCCCACAGGCTTCTGCCTGGCTGCCCCCATATGGAAGCTTCCAGGGCAAGCCCAGAGGTTCCCTGCTCCCAGCCCTTGGTCCTGCCACTGCACCCAATAAAACATCCCCATCTCACATGAAAACGGCCCTCTGAGGAACCCGGCGTCTTTCCGGAGGGAGGTTCCTCTCTAACACCGGGGCTTCCCTTGGGGTCTGCTCACCCAGGCTTCTATGTCCTCGGCGTGTCCTGTTTTCTGAGCCCAGGGAATCTGGGGGCACGTCAGATCTCAGTGTTGGGGAGCTGCCGCCAAACAATACATCAAAGCCGGTTTCTTTTCAAAGTAGAGGCTGTCTTATTATAATTCAGGGACAAATTCTAACTAAGTTTCCAGAAGGAGGCCCCGGTGTGGAGGGGCCTGTCTCTCCCTGAGCGCCTGCGTCTCCTGGCTCCACCAGGCCTCTCACCAAATGGTGTTTTGCAGCCTCTTTTCCCTTGGGAGGGTCTGGGAGTGGACAGGGCATGTCTTCCCCTTTCCCCGAGGGAAGGGTAGGAAAGGAGTTGCTCTTTGCCCCCGCATTCCAACTACCAGCCAAGGGAGCAGGTCCTGAGACCCCCCGCTGGGCTGCCTGGCTGAGGGGTATCTGTCCCTGAGGCTGCCAGGAGGCTGTGCGACACGTGGCCGGGAAGCTCAGTGCTCCAGGGAAGAGGCCTGAGAGCAGCGCCCCTGGGGGTCTCTGGGCAGAACCAGGAGAACCGGCCAGCGTCACTCAACAGTGTGCCCTGTGGCATGTCGTGGGGAGCGCAAGGGTCCCCGGAGCTGAGTGGGTGCTGCAGAGGAGCTGGGCTCATCGGGAAGGAGGTGGCCGGGGAGGGGCTGGGCTCATCGGGAAGGAGGTGGCCGGGGAAGGGCTGGGCTCATCGGGAAGGAGGTGGCCAGGGTGACCACGGCAGGAAGATGCAGGAGGCACAGAGAGGCCGGAGGGGTCATCTGCCCATCAGGGAATGCTGTGGTGCTGAGGACCCCGTATGCTGCTGGGGGTGTTCCTCCAGAGAACTCACCATTATGTAAATGCAGCCCCCACCCAAGAAAGCTGGCGCCAGCTTCCCAGGGTGAAGGCAGCACCCGGAACCAGCAGCACCATGTCCCCTCACCCTGTCCTCTTTGCTCTGACCCCCAGAGGAGCCTGGGCGGAGGCAGCAGGGGTTAGTCCAGAAGCTAGAAGGGCAAGCGGTGGGGGCAAGGGCACTGCACAGGGCTGGACGCCACCCCCACGCTGCCTCCTTAGCCATTTGCCCCCACCCCTGACTGCAGCCCCAATCCTCCACCACTGGGGAAGGAGTCGGTGCCCTCGGCCACCTTCCTGGAGGCAAGCTGCTGCCCAGGAGGGAGAGGCGAGGCCACTGTCCCCAGGAAGGAGACTCGGCTGCCTTCACACCCTCAAGCTGTGCCAGGGCACAGGAAGAGCACCCACCTATCTGGCAGGTGCACCTCTAAGGTCGCCTTCCTCTGGAGGGCCCCCGACGTCCCCTCAGAGGGAACAGGCTCTCTGGAGCCCGGGTGGTACTGGGCTGCTCCTGAGTAACTGAGCAGACTCAGGAACCCCAGGTCCTGCCCTTCGTCCAGTTCCCAGTTGCCCTGGACAAAGAGTGAGTGTATCTGACACATCAAAAATCCTCCAAAATATTTACTGAATTTAGTTTAAAACAAGGAGTGCACTGTCTGAGGATAGCTCTGGTGTTCTCAGCATCAATTCTCTCCCAAGTCTTCCTTATAGGGGAGACGTGTCCTTGCAAACACAACTCAGCTTTATGAAAGTACGTGGTTTTTTTGCTTATTTTGTTTTTTGAGGCAGAGTGTCTTGCTCTGTCACCCCAGCTGGAGTGCAATGGTGCGACCTCAGCTCACTGCAGCCTTGACCTCCCCGGCTCAAGTGATCCTCCTGCCTCAGCCTCTTGAGTAGCTGGGACCACAGGCATGCACCACCACACCTACCTAATTTGTGTATTTTTTGTAGAGATGGGGTTTCACCGTGTTGCCCAGGCTGGCCTCAAACTTCTGGGCTCAAGAGATCCTCCTGTCTCGGCCTCCCAAAGTGCTGGGATTACTGGTGTGAGCCACCGCGCTCGGCCGGTACACATTTTATTAAAGGCACAAGCTTTTTTATGGGTCTCCCCCTCTACCCAGAATGCCTTGGTGTGTTGCTTCATAAGTTGAGAATAATATGCTGGCAAATATTTTAGAGTGTAGACCCTCCACGCAGGTATGCACCAATCATTGCCGTCTCTGAATGTTTTATCTCTGATTAAGCAGCGTGGATTTTTTTTACTGTTCCCCAAAATACACACTGCCTCGGGGAGCACCCACTATCGGGGTAGCTGAGGGTAACCTGGACCATACAAATATTTAATCAAACTGCACCTCCTGGGAATTCCTAGTGTGGGTGACGCACCCTCCCTCATAATGAAAATCTTTTACCCCGATCCTGCAGTCACACCTCCTCCCACAGACCTCCACATGCAGGCTTTTTCCTTACCACACACATGCTGTCTGGAGAGGAAGCCAAGAGCCCTTCCAGAGAGGAGACTGTGAAGAAACCGAATGTCTAAATAAAGTCAAATCTTCTCTGTGCACCTTGCAATCATCATTCAAAGAACATTGCACACATACCCTCCTGCTCTATATTAAGTACACCTTCCCTGCTGGCTCAAAACAACCCCGAGGCTTGGGGGTAGGCACGGCCATAAATAAAGCGTGCTTTAAGCTGGCTCTAATTTAACTAGAGTCTTTGGCGAGGGGAAATGCAAAGAATATTTAAACAATGACACACAACCAAAACTAACAGGCAGGCCTCAAAGGGGTTCGTCATTTTTTTTCCATCTAAAATTAAATTTCGTGGGTTTTTTTTTTTGCAGAACTTTGACTCAATTGCTTCAGGTTCTTGTCTGAAACATATTTGAGTCCCTCTCTCTTGTCTCTGTCTCTCTGACTCTCTCTCTGATCTCTCTGAATCTCTGTCTCTGATCTCACTAACTCTTTCTGTCTCTGTCTCTGTCTCTCTGTCTCTCTGATCTCTCTTTCTGACTCTCTGTGTGTATGTGTCTCTCTCTCTTTCCCAGACCTCCGCCCCCCACAGTTTTATCTCCAGACAGTGTGTGTGAGACAGGAAAGGGTCAGCGTGGGGGGATGGGGAGTGCCTGAAAGATCTAGGAGTGATGGGTTGACATTGTTCAGAGATTAGAGATTATTGGAAATAAGTTGGAAATGCTCTTCTGAGAGCTTTGGACTTCTTGAAAGAAATATATTCTATTTTGTTTAAAACAGCCTTGCGATCAACCAGTCAATCCATAGCTGCTTGTTGAGAACAGCGGGAAAACGGAAACATGATATTGGCGCTCAGAGAGCTTGGCTGGAGCTCCAGAGACCAGGGAAAATCTTCAGTGGCCAAAAGCACAACACGACACCTTACGGTGAGGCACGGACCGGACCAGACAACATCCATCTTCCTTTCCTCAAATCTGAGACAGTCCCAGAAGGGTGGGACCCAGAGAGGGGCAGATACAGGCCACACTCTACAGCCAGCAGTCAACACACCCATCCCCCAGAGGATGGTCCTGGGCCCAGACCTGGCAGAGAATGCAGGGAGACCCTCCGGGAGGGGCTCGCCCAGGGCCAGGGACCCAGTCGTCTGGAGACAGTCAGATGAAGCCTGCACGGGTTGACTTCTCTCTGTCATTCAGCTGTGCGTTTGGGGGCACCTGCTGGTATATGGCAGTGTGCACCATGGAGGGTGTGAAAATGAACTCAGAGTTTGCGCCTCAGGTTCCCAGAGGACTTTGCTCATGTCCCATACGGCCACTCACCCTGCATCCTATGTGTTTACAGAATTCTCCAACCCAGCATTCAGATCCAACTACATCTCCTGAGCCCCCAGCCCAGGCCCTGGCCCATGCCAGGCATGCAGGGGCTGGATGAATAAGACAGAGTCCAAGCCTGCAGGACTAAAGGCCCTGCCCAAGGGTAACACAGGCCCTCGAAGCCATGGCGTCCAGCAATAGGACAGTGTCACCCACTAGTTGGGGAGCCACAGGACCTCTGGAGGGGTGAGGGTGCCCGGAGGGTGCATGAGATGCTTCGGAGGGAAAGTGACTTCCCAGGAAGCCCTTGGACAAGGCTGGGAGCCTCCACTGCAGAGAGGGGAGGAAGAGGGTCCCAGGTGAGGAGAAATGAATGTAAAGGGCTCCGGAGCAATGGGGACAGGCGGCCACGCAGCGCTGGAGCAAGACGTGCACGGAGGAGCCAGGAGGTGACGGGAAGGGCCCTGGAGCAGGTGCCAAGGAGGCCGGACGCCCTGTGGGCCGTGTCCCTCCTGCCCTGTGCTGCGGTCCTCACACCACCAGTGACCACAGCAGGAGTAACGACGCCCAGCTTCACTGTGGGCCGGGCGCGGGACAGGCGTTGCTTTGAGCCTTTTTCTGGAATTGATCCTTTAATCCTCACAAACGCTCTGTGGGGAGATCCCTCTATTTTACAGATGAGGAAACCCAGTCTCAGAAAGGCTGAGCTGGCATCCCAAAGTTGAGGAGCCCAAGATGGCAGAGTGACTCCAAGCCCTGCCCCTCTCCTTGCGTCCCCCCACCCCCGTCCTCCTCTCCTGGTGTTACCCTCCAGGTCCCCTTCGCCTGGCATTCCCCCTACAGGTCTCCACCTCCTGGTGTCCCACTCAGGTGCACTCTCCTGGTATCCTCCCAGGTACCCCTCTCCTGGTAAAACCCAGGTCCCCCTCTCCTGGTGTCCCCCGCCATCCTCCTCTCCTGGTATACCCCCAGATCCCCCTCTCCTGGTATCTCCCCCCAGATCCCCCTCTCCTGGTGTCCCCCTCCAGACCCTCCTCTCCTGGTGCCCCTCCCGTCCACAGGCACTGCAGGCAACCCCTCCACTCCCGACCATGGCTCCAGCCCTCCCACTGGCTATACCTCCACACTGGGCCCATTGCACAGCTAGCTCTCGGGTTGGACAGACATCTGATGGCCACATCCCTGTGGAGGGAAGTGTCTCTAAAGGACACACGGTCCCTGAGGGATGTCTTGTGGTGTTCTGTTGTCAGACCACCAGGTCCCACCAGCAGCCATGCCTGTATCTCTTTATCCTCTTGGTCCTGACCCCTTTGTTCTGGTCTGAACATGGCCACTGCTCCTGGAGCCCCAGTGAGGGGAACCAGAGACCACGGCCACTGTCTCCCAGGGTTCCCAAAACCCAAACAATGGGGGCCGCCTTGGTGTGCGTGAGCCCTCCCTCCTCCTCCCTCAGAGTCTCACAAGTCCTCCACAAAGCAGCTGCTTCTGCCTCACAGAACCATTTATGGGGCCAGTTACTGGACTGCTACCTATGACCTTCCATCTCCACCCCAGAACCGAAGCACAAAACTCCCACCTCATTGCTCCCTGACCCAGACGAAAATTCCTCCCCTCTCAGCCAGAGAGGAGTGAGTGAGGGTATCTGAGGCTCTGTCTCGGTTTAGCCTCAAACAAAGGAACTGTCTCTGTGCAATTATTCAATATGAATTGTCAATGTCTATTTCCCCCGTTGTCTTCTTTTCAAACTTTACTAGGCATAGTCATAGAAACTTAAATTTCCTCCCTACCTAGCAATTCTAATAAAAAGCTTTGGTCAGTTATACACTGAAATTTTTAAGGCTGGAATGGTGGGTCATCTAGATTTGCCAAGAAACAGCATGGGGGATTATGGGGAATATTGATAAAATAAGGTTAATTAGGAATTGAAAGCTGTTGATGATAGTGTACACAGAAGCTTATCGCCATATTCTGTTTGCCATTATGAATGCGCAAAATCTTCCAGCAAAATGTGGATGAGAAATAAATAAATAAAGTAAGAATGCTGTTGGGGCGAGAGGCTCCAATGCATGGCAGCACCACCGTTTGGGGGTTCTCTCTTTATTTCATTTCTCCACGTGATCTCTGGCACCCTAGTAACCAAGATTTGGCTGGCTGTGTGTTCCTAATCCAACAAAACCAGCCAGAGCTGGAATTGAAGTCTTCGAGGTGGAGTGAACCCCAGTGAGCCCACCCCAGGGCTGCCCCCCCAGGTCCGCCTCACAGACCCACTTCTGCAGCCCCCCGTCAGGTCCCCCTCACAGACCCACTTCTGCAGCCCCCTGTCCAAGTCGCTGCCCCAGGTCTGGACACGGGCTGGAGGGTCATCGTGGTAGTTGCCTCTGAGTCAGCAAAACGCTGCTGTCACCTGTGAGGTCTGCAGTGCGTCTCAGAGGAGTGAGGTCCTGGAGGGGTCCTGCCAAGCCGAGATGCCGGAAATGGGGAGCTGCCGGGGAGGGGAGATGGGAGGTTGGAAAACGGTGTCATGGGAGTTCTCTCCTGGGCCTTTAAAGTGCCCATTCTCAGACAGAGGAGTCCAGAGGGACGTCTGGAAGCTTGGTTTGGAAGAAATTCCAGACTTCCCTGGGCAGCCAAGGCATTCTCTAGCTTTCTACGATCCAGGCCTGGCCCCTGCCTCATAAATCTCGCAGGAAGCGCTCTCAGGAAGGACGCTACTGGCCTGGGGCAGCCTCGGAGTTGAATGAAGATGGTTTGACTCTGAGAATGACTGGCCCCAGCCAGATTCCCCGTGGGGCAGCCCGTCTGTTTGGAAGTCTCCTTCCCCGCCGGGCCTGCACACCCACCCCTCCTGCCACATCAGCCCCAATATCTCTGCATTGAGCCCAGTGGGCACCTTCCCTTCCGTTGCTCAGAGAGCTTCAGAGACAGACCCTTACTCCTGCATTGATGTCCATCCAAGGGACGGGGCTCAGGCTGTCCCTTCCAGCTCACGAAATAGGTGCAGAGCCAGGCAGAGCAGCCCAAGTGTGACTCACACCCCGCCAGGTCCCGTGGGCACTTTCTCAGCAGGGTTGTGGGGGCAGCAACTCCATCCACTTTCCTCTGTCCCCTCACCCGCCCACCACTGCCCACGGCCAGAGTCACTGGAGCAGCCTCCATTCCGTCCCTGCACGGCAGTCACCATGATCTCTCCAAACCACAAGTCAGGGTGTTGCCTCTGCTTACAAGCCTTTGGTGACTGCCTGCCGTCTCAGACATGCTCAGCAGCAGTCACACTCACCGCCCCGTCATGCCTGTCTCTCACCGTCCTCCCGGCTCGCTCTCCTCTCACCAGGCTTAACGGCCACACTTCCTGGGGCACTTCTGTGACCCCAGGGCCCGGCTGGTGCCCTTCCACGGTGGTGCTTCACCACCTTGCAATTGCTGGTTTACATCCCTGATCACCCAGACTAAACGTGAAGGGCCAGGACTGTGCTGAAAGTCCTGAAACCCAGAGATGAGAGCTCAGCTCAGACCGCACGTGATGCCTCGGTGTGGACATGTGCCCAGCTGAGCGTGCAAGCCCCTAATGGCCGCTCAGCAATGCTTGTGTTTTCTCCCTTGAAACTCTGGAGCAACTGCAGCCAAACATCCTCTGCTCACTCTGTTTGTATCTCTGTCCTCTAAATCAGCCCTCTGACTTCCTCCCCGCCTGCGATGAGACTGTGAAGGAATAACAACATCCGGAGGAGATTGTGCCCCAACTTGGCTGTCGAAGGGGCCTCATCAGCCACCTTCATGGCCCAGACGGTCAAAGGCTGACCCCACAGAGTAAGGCTGGCCCTAGGAAGAGTGGGTGCTGGGCAAGGTCCACCGTGTGCCGCAAGATCCCCCATTTAATGCAAACAACATCTCAATGAAAGATAGCATCAAAGACGGCAGTCTGAAGCCCAGGGAAGGGCGTGGACTTTGAAGTTGGGCAGGTTTGAGTTTAAGTGTTGTTTTGCCACTTCTGCTGTCTGTACCATCTTGGCAATCTGTAAAATGCATATAACACCTCGTGTGTTAGGGTGGGTCCTTGCTGCAATAACAAACAACCCCAGATCTCAGTAACTGCGTGCAATGAAACACCTGCTTCTCCCTCACACGAAGCCGAATGTGATGGTTTCTAGTTACATGGTTCTCTTGGGTGGGCTTCTCCCAGGCCGCAGCTCCACTGAGCTCCATAGTCCCCCGCTGGATCTCCTGCCCTAAAGTGGTCAACAGATGAAGAGAGACGGTGTGAGTATTGGGCAGGAGGTTTCTGGGGCAGCCTGGAGGTGGTGTCCTCCAGCATCACTCCCAGGGGCCCCGGCTGCAAGCAGGACATGCTGAAGCTGCAGTGTTCTGGGAAAGACATAGCCCCGCTTCTGCCACACCTGCCTGGCAGAATTGTCATGTTTTAGGGGACGGCTCGTAAAATGGCTTAACAGGCTCTTGGCCCAGGGACTGCTAGAATAGTGAGTTTCCTTCTTCTCTTCGCCTTTGGTGATGTTGGGGCTGGAAGATTTCTAGAATGAGCTGTGTCTGTAAAGAAGCCTCAAGTCTTTTTTTTTAAGCACCCGCGGATGAGGCTTTTTGAGGCACTAGCCGGGCATCAGAGGCCCAGGGAAGTTCAAGGGTTCACCCTGATTGGCCTGAACATCTGGGAAGTTCTGGGCTGAGCACGATGACAAATGTGCCTCCCACCCCCACCATCCACACTCATCTACCCACACACACGGGTTCTGTCCTGCCCCGAAGGAAGATGGTTTCAGGATGACTGGATTTCTGAATTTCCTCCGTGCAGATTAAGGAGGCTTAAGAAGCCCGCCTGTTGGGAGGAAGCCTCCGACCGGAGCTGCTCTGGCTGGGAAGGGGTGGCTCAGGGTGGTGCCTGCTGTTCAGCCAGGCTCCCCGAGGCAGGTGGGATGAGACACCTGGGTGGGGCGGGCAGAAGCTCAGAGTCTGCACGGTGCCAGGGAGGATGATGAGGGCGAGGATGGATGAGCCCACAGGGGTGCATACTCCACCTCCCGAAAACACAAGGAGCTCAGCGGCTGCACACACAGGCAGCACAGAAAAGAACAATGGGGCAACTCGAGGGCGTTCTGAGGGTACCTCTTGCCTACATCACCTGGTTTTAGTCATCTCCCACGTGCCTGCCTTCAGGCTGATGGACTTCTGTGAGATCCCTGGGTTGCTGGCTTTGAAAGCCACTGGGTACCGACCACCCACATCTTGGCAGGGGAGCTCCCATTGCTAACATTGCTTCATAAAGTGCCACTGGAGAACAGCTGTTGAGTGGTGACCAGCCCCCAAGGAGTCAACCGCCTTTCCCACCCCCAACTCACCAGAGTCCCATGAGGACACCCCACACTCAAACCCAATCTGGACAAAACTGTCAAGGACCCTAACCCAGGCGTGCCCCCCACCTTCTCATCCAGCTCCCTTTGACTCACTTGGGTGGTCGCAGCCGCCGGCTGTGATTTCTGGCCCATGCCTAGTTATTTTAAAGGCCAAATTTTCACAGCCATGCAACAGGCCCTTATCTCCAGGCCTTCAGATGCTCCCATGTGGCTTGTTTGATTCTCCTTCATATCAGCCCTCTCTCAAGACTCAAATTTCATTTCAAACCAAATTTCTCTTTTCTCCATTCTGTTGACTGGGCATCACCATGGCAACCCCCACCCCCATTGCAAACATCCTCTGAGGAACGGGCCCACATGCAGGGGCTTGAACCTGTCATCGCTGTGAGTCAAGGTGAGATGAGCTCACTTCCCTTGATCAGCCATGAGTACTGAGTGCAGCTTCAATTTGTGTCTTTGTCACTAGGACAACTCTGTGACTAGTGTGCTTCGGTTAGGGCAAAAAGTCCTTCTCCAGGAGAAAGAAGTAAGTAAGTTACCTGCCTTTACAGACAGTTGGTCCAATGGATAAAACAGGGGCTGCCAGAGAACCCTACAGAACAAAAAACCTATCATGCAAGATTATTACATATCTATCTTTTTTTCTCAGAAAAAGGCTGGGTGCTGTGGCTCACACCATAATCCCAGCACTTTGGGAGGCCGAGATGGGTGGATCACCTGAGGTCAGGAGTTCGAGACCAGCCTGGCCAACGTGGTGAAACCCTGTCTCCACTAAAAATGCAAAAATTAGCTGGGTATGATGGCATGTGCCTGTAATCCCAGCTACTCAGGAGGCTGAAGCAGAATTGTTTGAACCAGGGAGACGGAGGTTGCAGTGGGCCTAGAATGCGCCACTCTACTCCAGCCTGGGTGACACAGCCAGACCCGTCTCAAACAAACAAACAAACAAACGAACAAAAACCTACTAAATACCACCTATAACAAAAATGAATTTGAAGATTTCTCACAAACTCATGGTCACAAGCTTCTTTGGTAGTTGATTTTGTTGAAACAAAAGCTGACCATAAATCCACAGAAGACAATTATGAAGGAAAGCCACCCCACAAGCTTTGCTACATCCAGTGAAAAACACGTGCTGCACACATGAGTCTCCAGGATATGAACAAAATGTTTACGAGCCAAAAATTATGAAGAAGGTATTGATCTCAATACATTTTATTAGCATCCAAATAGCCATCCACAAATATTTGCTCAGTGATAAGGAGGAATGCTACCTTGTTCAACATCTATATTCTAGAAGTTAATCATTTTCAAAGAATCAGCTCATTAACTAATAAATAACAATGTTGTCTTCCACCATAGTTTAAGGCAATACCCCTTCTTTTCCTATCCATCTGCATGGTTTGTTTTGTTTTATGATGTGAATGTTATATATTTTATCAATATATGGACTTCTTAATGAGCCTGAAGACAAAAACCACATCCTTGCTGTGGCTATAGGAGGCGATATCTCTCCGAAGGTCACATGGGATCATTTCTGATGAATACACCAGGTATAAGGAGGTGTGTCTCTCAGACCTACAACAATCTAAGGAGGAATGCCCTAAACCTTGGTTCAAGGGATGATTTCATGCTTGTATACATACACAAAAGTCCATCAAACTGTATAGATTTGTGCACTTTATTATATCTTGGCCTTATTTTTAAAAACAGAATAAAATTATCAGTGAACCTCAGAGAGGGTCTCAGTTTCTCTTGCTTTTGACCACAAAAGTGTCAAATTCCTCCCAAATTATGGAGAGAAGCTAGAAGGGAGAACAACTAGGGGCTCAGGCAACACGGTTGTGAACTGTAGTTAACGTTTAAGGGCCGGGAGATCTGTATCTAAGCAAATCATCAGTAAATGCCAGCTTATCTCAGACTTTGTAAACTAATTTGTTTTATGCTTCCTGAATTCTCATTTATTCTCCTTCATTCTCAGTATTAGACAAAGTACAGTCAATGCTTGTCATTCTCAGTACTTCTGTTCTCTAAAGTCACCAAGAACAGTGAATTAGCAAATACAGTCAGCTCTCCGAATCCATGGATTCCAAAACCTCAGATTCAACCAACCCTGGATTGATAATGTAATTAGGCCTATGATGGTTACATCTGTACTAAACATGTCTATTTTACTTCTTGCCATTATTCCCTAAACAATATAGTATAACAACTATTTACATGGTATTTACATTGTATTAGGTGTTATAAGTAATCTAGAAATGATTTAAAGTATACAGGAGGGTGTGCATAGATTATATGCAAACACTATGCCATTTTATATCAGGGCCTTGCATATCTTTGGATTCTCGTATCCGCAGATGGTCCTGGAACAAATCCCCCAAGGATACCAAGAGACAATTATGCTGAACCATTGTTCCCAGGAGAAATATGGGGTATGTTCCTACCAGCCCTGACCATAGCATTTTTGTCAACCAATCCATATATAACTTTGTTTTATGTATGTTTCTGTTTAAAGGCACCTTATTTAATATAAAGTGTTGATTCATTGGTGGGTAAGTAGTTGGTTGGTTAGCGGGTGGTTTGTTGGCTGACTGGTTGGTGGGTAAGTGGTTTTTGGTTGGTTGGTTAGTTGGTGGTTGGTTGGTGCTTGACTGGTTGGTTGGTGATTGGCTAATTGGTTGGTTGGTGGTTGATTAGTTGGTTGGTTGGTAGGTGGGTGAGTGGTTGGTTGGTTGGTTGGTAGGTGGGTGAGTGGTTGGTTGGTTTGTTGGTAGGTAGGTGAGTGCTTGGTTGGCTGGTTGGTGGTTGATTGCTTGGATGGTTAGTGGTTTATAGGCAGTTGGTGATTTGTTGGTTGGCTGGTGGGTGGGTGAGTGAATGAGTGTGTGGTTGGTGTGTGGTTGGTTCGTTGATTGGTTGTTGGCTGGTTGAATGAATTAATAAATTTTGCTCTCAAAAGCTCATAGTCCCCCCCAAATCCCTTCTCCATCTGTCATAAAGTCTGATATTTCTAAAGTTAAGATCCTCGATTAAAAAGCATCATGGAAATGTAAATATTTAAACTGGATCACAGAACTATCTTTCCTGGGAGGTGAGAACTCACTAATGAGTTAATGAATGGCACAGGATTCATTTCTCCAGTCATTTTTCCCTTATGATTCCATGACACCCGTGGAAAGAATGGGCACAAGGTAGGTATGTGTCTATGGAAAAGAGGGAAGAAGTAAGAAAACATCTGGAGTAAGACTTTCCTCTCTAGTCCTAGAAAAAACCATTGTGATGCCAGGAAAAAAAATTATCTTCTCTCAAAAGAGTGTGTTTACCTTTAGACAACAGCTATCTGTTGTAAAGGCTCATCAGTCCCTCAGTGTGTCACTGTGATCACAAATCTCCAGGAAAGGAAGATTTTGCAGGCAAAGTTTCTGGGAAACATTTCACAAGAGAACGGCAGCCCAGCAAAATGTGCATTTGGGGAGCCTGGCTTGGGACATGCATCTTACAGCCTGGTTTGCTGCCAGGATCCCCCAGGACACTCTCAAAAAAACAGATCTCTAGGCTCCCCCGAAACCTTTGGAAATATTCTTGAGGGACCAAACAAGAAGCAGATACTTCCGAGAAGCCCACCAGGTGAATCTGACGATGAGCCCAGGTGTGGAATCTCAGGCAAGGCCTGGTGGAAAATCCGTGGTCTGCGAGGAGAGCTGCCTGGGAACCCGGCACGACGGGGAGACACTTGAAGGAGGGGCACATGCGCCAGAGGTGAAGCTTTGCCCTCTCCAGCACAGAGTGGGCCGTGAGCTGTCCGCCACAAAGGCGGAGAGATGAGGTAAGAGGGAGGCTGCATTGTTTTGATGTCCAGGCACAGACTTGGCATCCACCAGCCCAGGCAGCGCCACAGCCAGGCTGGCTCTGGAGGAAAGGGTGGGCCATGGCTTTGAAGCCAGGCAGGCACACTTCCTCCAGGGCCCGGGTCTGCATGCAGGGGCACGAGACTCAGAAGCCAGCTCGCCCATCTGTTTCCGTTACATGCAGATGGGGCAGAGGGCGGAGGGCGCAGGGCTGGATGGGGACCAGACTGTGAAGCCTTCGGGGACTGCGTCCAGCTGCATCACAGGTCTCATCTGGCCCAAGGAGGCCGGTGGGGCGGTGTCAGGGAAGCCCAGTGTCCAGGGCTTTGAGTGCTAATTCTTCTTCCTGGACATCGGTCCCCCTCCTCACTAGCTGGAGGCAGGGTCCCTGCCTTGCTTTTGCAGGCACCCAGTGCCTGTCGTCAAGCCTGGCCTACAATAAGTATGTGGTAAACATTCATTAAGTTGAACTGAATGCTCCTTTCAGTGAGAAGATGAGCTCTTCCATCTCTCTCATTAGACAGAGGTCCCCATCAAGGGGTTCACATCAACTGGTTGTTAACAAAAAGAGGGACCCTGGCCCAGCCAGCACCTGCACACAGGAAGCATTCAGTGATGCTGGCTTTGTTGATTTGCAATGACCATCTGCAAAACTCTCTTCCCTTTATCCGGGTGTGGGTTTGGTTCCTGTGTATCCAGATGAACGTAATTGCCATCATCGATACCAGATACCCAACCATGACCCCTTCTTTTCCCCTTTTTTCAACTTCTACTCTAAGTGTAAACAAGTTAAATGATTTGGGGTTGTTTTGCCCTCATCTGATTCAAAAAGAGGTGATGAAGCATCTCGGTTCTACCAGCTGTGTGATCACAGAAAAATTGCTCAACCTCTCTGAGTGCCAGTTTTCTCAACTGCTAAATGGATTTACAAAACCCACCTCGCAGAGTAATTAGAAGGATTCGTGTACCTAATGCACTGGAACAGAGGCGGTGGTTGATATCTAGAAACTAGTATTATAATATTCTCCATCCTGGGACAGTCTAGCCCTAGGGACTGGATCCCAAGATCATGGTGTCCCAGAGAACTTTGACCTTCACAGCTGCAAACAGATGGAGGGACAGGGCTCAGAGGTTCAGCAGGTCCCTTCTGTTCATAGAACCCATTGCTTTGTAAACAAAGTCCTATCTATTCATAGCGACAGAGTTTGAACCTCCTTGCATTTTTGTTCATGCATTTACACAAATGTGTGTTTTATGCCTTGTTTACAAGTGTGAGTGGTGTGCTTACTGGGTGGGGACCCGCACACTCCAGGCTTGGACACTCAAACAAAGAGCTTCCCAGGCCCAGCGCCAGGCCCCTACAGGAGCCCAGGTCCTTATCCTCGGGGACCCTGCGTTCCTGATCACAGCCTTTGTTCTCTGGACCTGAGATCAAAGGTCCAGAGGAGGTAGTTTGCTGGCAGCCAAAACTCGTTGGATGGTGGAGTCAGACGGAAGGGTTCTTGGATCAAGGTTCATCCCATGGACCATCTACTCACTAAGGTGAATGGAAGCAAAATTTATCAATACTTTTTATAAGTTGATGCAAGTTTATGGATATTTATTAACACAATGTACTGAATGCTTACTACATCTGGGATTTGCAGGGCAGAGGAAGACCAACCCTAGCTCTGGCCATAATTGGGGCCCGAGCTCTCAAAGCCCACAGGTCCAGGTGCAAAGGACAGAGATTCTCCACATGGGCGCCTCCTGGGGCCGGTACAGCTCCTCACACCTGGCCCCACACCTTGGGCCCAGCCCAGGGGCATCAGTGGGCAACTCATTCTCTTTAGAATTCTTGCAGCTGGATAAATGCAGCCTGGACAGTCGATTCATGGTTATCGAATGGGGGACAACCATGGATCTTAAAAGTGATTTCGTTGATGGGTTTTCTTCCCCCTTTGGGCTGTAGGTTTGGTCCGGGCTGGCCGGGAACAGAGCCGTTTAACACCGCGCTTATGCACCATTAGGGGCTTGGATGTGTTTGCTCCTGATCCAGGTCAGAGATTCCCAACTTTCTCTTCTGAGGAGCTGCTCTTATCTATCCTGAAATTTGGTTTTAGCCATGGAAGAGGTTTCTCAGAGCACAACCAGTAGGCTCCGTACCAGCTTCTTCCCCCGAGAATATTTGTCAGCAGTCAGGAGGAAGGCATGACAGCAGGACCTTCTTAGAGGGCGACAGCCAGGTGGCACAGTGGCCAGCACCACTCAGGGCAGCTGGCGCCCCATCCTCCAGGAGCTGGAGCTGTTGCAGAAGGGTCTGGGTCACTCCTGCCCCTCCAGGAGGCAGAACCCCAAGAGTCCATCCCTAGGCTTGGAGGAGCCGCATCAGCCTCCTAACCTCTCTCTTCTTGTCATTGCCACATCTCACATACAAGAACAAGCATGTCTGCAGCCTCTGAGCACTCGGCCAACAGCTGTAGGCCTGCCCACTTCTCAAACCCATTCGGATTGCAAAGCCCCAAGCTCTACACGCCCAGCACTAGAAAGAGTGGCTCTTTGCTTCTTCACTGGGATGGGCTCACACAGATCCAAAAACCTCCTCCCCAGTTCCATTCAGCCTTCTCCAGACAAGCACCAAAATGCTTCCTTCTGCCTCTCCTTGGCATGTGCTTGTGATGCACTTGCTCACGCGGCTTTTTATGGCCACAAAGTCTGGAGCTGATCCATTGGGCCATGCAGGCCTGCATGACAGCATAAAGAACTTAAAGTTGGCTGGGTGTGGTGGCTCATGCCTGTAGTCCCAGCACTTTGGGAGGCCGAGGTGGGAGGATCACTTGAGCCCAAGAATTCAAGACCAACCTGGCCAACATAGTGAGACCCTGACTCTACAACAAATACAAAAATTAGCCAGGCATGGTGGTGTGCACAGGTAGTCCCAGCTACTCAGGAGGCTGAGGTGGGAGGATCGCTTAAGCCCAGGAGGTCAAGGCTGCAGTGAGCTGAGATCATGCCACTGCACTCCAGCCTGGGTGACAGAATGAGACCTTGTCAAGGAAAGAAGGAAGGAAGGAAGGAAAGAAAGAAGGAAGGAAGGAAGGAAGGGAGGGAGGGAGGGAGGGAGGGAGGGAGGGAGGGAAGAGAGGGAAACCTAAAGTTCAGAGGATTAAATACACTGCTGAGGACAAAGACGATGACTTTCCCCAGTGATCCTCCAGGCTCCCTCACCAGAGTTATTTAACCCAGCTCATCCAGGCCCCTGAGAGAAATTAAACATTAAGCAAAGAGAAATCATGCAGCGGGCAAGTGACGAGAGCAGCCAGAGAATACACTGAGACTCCCAACTCCCACCCAGTCCACTTCTAGCAGGAATATCCACTTCCCTGGAGACATTTCCACTGGGTGACTGACATCTTCTAGGGCAGATGTGACAATTTAGCAAGCAGAGCTGGAAGGACTCGCAGGCTGGCGGGCTATGCAGATATATAAGTCAGTGGCATCGAGTGTCCCAGGTTGGAAACGTGAGCAAATCAACCAGTGTTCCGTATTCATCCCGTAAAGGAAGTTGGTGCATAGTCTCACAACTTACTGAGAACTCGCCATGAGTCAAGGTCTCTGCTAAGAGTTTTTGATGCATTATCTCATAAAATTCTCATGATAGCCCCAGGAGGTGGTTATTGTTATTTGAGGACCAGAAACCTCTAGCAGCCAAACTGGGTTCCTAGGTCAGGGCCCATTAAGTTGCAAATCCGGCCTTCATCACACCTCAGCGGCTCTGTCACTGGCGTGAGATGCTGGCTCTGTGTGTGTGACATCTGAGAACAGCATCCACCTCCACGCACCCAGCAACTTCCTGCAGTGCCTGGGCCTGCTACGAGGTCATCTTACAGGAGGTTCAGGACAATAGGCAGCTGCTCCACCAGAGTGAGTGGTACAGGGTGTTCTCGGCCTGATAAATACACGAGGAATTTAATTATCTGACGGGCAGAAGCTCCCGGGCTGCCCAGGCCTGCTGCACAGCCAGCCGAGAAAGAAGAATCAGGTTATGAGACTTCATGAGGTCAGCAGGTGGGGCGGCGGGGTTGCCCCCATGCAGGAGCCCCCTCGAAGGGCCGGCACACACAGATTTCTCTGGACCAGTCACAGTCTGAGTGAAAGGCACCAAGAAGGGGAAGAGAGAGGTGCAGAGAGGCTGCGGGGATGAGAGGAACTGAGTAAGAAGAGTAAGGCTGGAACCCAGGGGTCCCGACCCTTATCACAGCAACGCAATGACGCCACCCCCCAGCTCTTACAGAGAACGCTCATGGGACAAATGCTGATCATCTATTAACCCATTCCATCCTCTCAGCCACCCCTGAGGGCCCGGTGTCATGGATGAGGAAACCGAGGCTCACAGAAAGTGGCCTGCCTGGGGTCCCGCCGCGAGGGAGACCTCCTCTCCATCACATGCCTTTCTGCTGCAGGACTTCACCCTCCCCTGCACCTGGTTCATGATCCAGCACATTCTTCAGGATCCAAAGGCCACAGGGCAGGGTCCCAGCTGCACTCACAGGCACCTGCTGCTTTCTGGCAGTCATCGTAAACGCGCAGTGACCTTAAATAATACAGGCTACGGGACACTCAAAGGCACGTCCACAGATGCACAGCCAGCCCGTGCAGACGCTCGGACGCTGCCTGCCCAGGTCCAAGCTGCTCTCCCACACCCCTGCAGGGCACAGCCTCCTGCCCCACCCACACTGCAGGGACCAGGTCCCTCTTCTCCATGCCTTCCTTCTCTGGAAAGCCTCCTGCTTGGGCCCCCACATGGATGTCACTTGCTTGTGATGAGCCCTCTCTGACCCGTCACTCCCACAAGGCCATCCTGGCAGGGGTAGGAGCGTGGCTTGGCCCTCATCTCGTTTACTAGCCATGGCATTTTCATTCTCTGTGCCTCTGGTTCCCCATTTATAAAGTCCCATGGCCTTGGGATTAGAGTGTGTGTGTGAGGCAGGTGGCAGCCCCGTGCAGTTGAGACTCTCGCTGCTCCTGGGCTGGATGGCACCTGGTCTCACCCAGCACAGCAGTGGTCTCTGATCCACCACGTGGCCCCGGGAGGCAGGCACTCGGCACAGACTGGGTGGTCTGTAGGTGAAGGAGAGAGATCGTTCTTGAATATTTGTGCCGAGTGAGAAGGGAAAGCATCAATAACCCCAAGAGAAAAGGTTCCTTCCTAATTACAGGCCCTCGAAAGGTGGCGGCGCTCAGAAAGCAGGAAGAGCCGTAACACATTCCAGAGTTAAAGGAAAGATGTTTCCATTTTCTCCTGGCACTGCTCTATCCCTGTGAGGTTGCTTTTACTCAACTCCCTTGTAAACTTGTGGGGGCCGATGAGTCACATGCTGATTTTGTGCCTAATTCCTTAAAGGGGGAACTACCTCATTTCTGTCGTTAATCTAACGGCGTGGATGTCACAGAAACCAGCCCCCCACAAGGTGAGGGCTTTATTGTGACCCCAAAGCAGGACCTGGCGGAGAGAAGCTGTGGCTCCGAGGGAGGCTCTTGACAGGCACTAATGGGCTCGCCAGAGCCACACAGAACGCGAGCGGTGAGAGGTGTGACTGGAGAGGACCTGGCTGTTCCGCGGTCTCACCTGCACCTGCTCAGACCAGGTGGCTGAGGGTGGGCCTCAGGAGGGGACAAGGGGCCTTCCTGGCCAGCTGGGTGGGGGCCGGGTGAGAGGGGCATCTTTCCCCTCTGCCACCTGCCCCAGACCGAGGCCTGTTCTGCCCAGTATGTCCTCTGCCCGGCAGCTCAGAAACAAGCTCGGGGGTGGGCCCAGCGCCCGCAGCGGATGCCAGGAGGTCTCTCCCTCAGCAGGGGCACAGGAGCAGCACAGGCCAAGGCCAGGCCCACCCTTTCCTGGGCTCTCCTGCCTGCTGCGCCACCCTCCCCCAAACACAGCCTCAGACCCATGGTGCCCACTCCCTCCCTCCCTCCTTCCCTCCCTCCCTCTCTACCTGTCTCTCCCTCTCTCTCTGTCTCTCTCTCTCTGTCTCACTCTCCCTCTGTCTCTGTGTCTCTTTCTGTGTATCTCTCTGTCATTCTCACTCTCGTTGTCTCTCTGTCTCTGTCTCTCTCTGTCTCTATCTGTCTCTGTCTCCCTGTCTCTGTCTCCATCTGTCTCTGTCTCTGTGTCTCTTTCTGTGTCTCTCTGTCACTCTCTTTCATTCTCTCTGTCTCTCTCTGTCTCTGTCTCCATCTTTCGGTCTCTGTCTCTGTGTCTCTTTCTGTGTCTCTGTCACTCTCTCTCACTGTCTCTCTGTGTCTCTCCCTGTCTCTCTCTGTCTTTCTCTTTGTCTCTGTCTCCGTCTCTCACTCCTGTGAAGAGGCCACAGCCCCTACTCCCTGCACACACACAGCTTCTCTGCCCTTGGTCCCCCCAGACCTTTGCTGCCACTCCCTCTCAGTGGGGACAAGGAGGAGCAGTCAGGGGCTAAAGAGAGGGAAAGACGCAGATGCCAGACACCAAAGAAAAACCTTCAGTTTTTCCTTGAAACGCACGTGTTTCTAGTAGGGGTTCCTGGGACGTTCCAAGAGCTGGGCTCCTGTTTCCTCAGGGCCTAGTCCCTGAGCTCAGGACCTTGTACTCAGGGAAACAGAAGGCAGCCCTGGGCCCCAGAGCTCCCCTGCGAGTGTGCACATGCTCAGATGCTGACACCCGAGCCTGCACACGCCTGCACATGTATACGCTCACAGGCACATGCTGACACACTCAGACACACATGCACATGCGCACACACACCCTGCACACACACACCGCGCGCACACACACACCCCGCACACGCACACCCCGCACCCACACACCCCGCGCACACACACCCCGCACACACACACCCCGCACGCACACACACACACCCCACACACATGCCCCGCACACACACCCCCCACACACACACACCCCGCACACACATACCCCACACACACACCCCACACACACACCCCGCACACACACACCCCGCACACACACAACCCGCGCACGCACACCCCGCACACGCACACCCTGCACACGCACACCCCGCACACACACCCACACACACACCCCGCACACACGCCCCACACACATGCCCCGCACACACACCCCCACACACACACCCCACACACACACCCCGCACACACACACCCCACACACATGCCCCGCACACACACCCCGCACCCACACACCCCGCACACGCACACCCCGCACACACACACACCGCGCACACACACACACCCCGCACACACACACCCCGCACCCACACACCCTGCACACACACACCCCGCACCCACACACCCCGCACACACACACCCCGCACACACACACCCCGCACACACACACCCTGCACACGCACACCCTGCACACACCCACACACACACACACCCCGCACACACACACCCCCACACACACACCCCGCACACACACCCCCACACACACACCCCGCACACACACCCCCACACACACGCACACCCCGCACACACACCACAGCCACACCCCACACACACACACCCCACACACGCCTTGTTCCTCAGCACATCATCCCCATAGAGGTAAAGGGTGTGTATATGAACCAAGCAAGCAACCTAAATGAATGCAAAGTATGTATAATGAAATACACAGCGTGATCTCCACGACAAGAAGCTAAAAACGATGCATGCCTAAACCCCCATGGCCCAGGTGTTAGGAGGCCTTGGTTATCCTTTGTCCCTCCTCTGGCACCTCCGTCCCCTACTTACAGCTCAGCGTGTGCCCAATGTTAAAGGTGCTGAAGTTCTTCGTTTTTTTTTGAAATGGCGTCTCACTCTGTCGCCCAGGCTGGAGTGCAATGGCACGATCTCCGATCACTGCAATCTCCGCCTCTCAGGTTCGAGCAATTCTTCTGCCTCAGCCTCCTGAGTAGCTGGGATTACAGGCACGCACCACCACGCCCGGCTAATTTTTGTAATTTTTAGTCGGCTAATTTTTGTAATTTTTAGTAGAGACAGGGTTTCACCAAGTTGTTCAGGCTGGTCTTGAACTCCTGACCTCATGATCTGCCCGCCTCAGCCTCCCAAAGTGCTGGGATTACACGTGTGAGCCACCGTGCCCGGCCCAAGGTGCTGAAGTTCTGGGCGGGCTTCACGAACACACATGGGAACTGTCCCCACCACCGCCCCAACACGCGGGAGGGCTGAGGGGCAGCCCCAGCAGAGGTGCTTGGGAGACGGACCCCAAGGCCATTATCGGGAACCAGCAGAAGGTCACAGATACTCTGCCCCTTCCCAGCCAGAAGGCTGCCTCCCATTTTATTACGTTTTCTCACTTGCTTAAACCTCTGGTAAACAGAAAATGGTTTCAGAATTGTTAACCCCTACCACTGAGAAAAGCAAACCTACTCACCAGGGTCAATATCTGTTCATAGTGTTTCAGAAGTAAAATTTACACACAATGAAACCTGAAATGTACAGTCCAGTGCATTTTAATGTACAATCCATGCATGCGGCTCACATCCCTACCAAGTCATATGGCATGTGTTTACCATGCTAGAAAGCTCCATTTGGCCCCCTCCTGACCAAGTTCTCACCCAGCAGCAGCCACGGATCTGATTTCTCTCAATATAGACTGGGTTTGCTGAGCTGGGGCTCCATCTAAATGGAAGCAAGTCTGGGCGCAGTGACTCACGCCTGTAATCCCAGCAGTTTGGGAGTCTGAGGCAGGCAGATCACTTGAGATCAGGAGTTCAAGACGAGCCTAGCCAATATGGCTAAACCCTATCTCTACTAAAAATACAAAAATTATCTGGGTGTGGTGGTGGGCACCTGTAATCCCAGCTACTCGGGAGGCTGAGGACCAAAAATCACTTGAACTTGGGAGGCAGTGAACCAAGATCGTACCACTGCACTCCAGCCTAGGAGACAGAGCAAGACTCTGTCTCAAAAAAAAAAAAGGGGGCCAGGCTTGTCGCTCATGCCTGTAATCCCAGCACTTGGGAGGCCAAGGCGGGTGGATTTCCTGAGGTCAGGAGTTCAAGACCAGCCTGGCCGACATGGTGAAACCCCTCTCTACTAAAAATACAAAAATTAGCCGGGCATGGTGGTGCACGCCTGTAACCCCAGCTACTCAGGAGGCTGAGGCAGCAGAATTGCTTGAACCAGGGAGGCAGAGGCTGCAGTGAGCCAAGATCATGCCACTGCACTCCAGCCTGGGCAACAAAGTGAGACTCCATCTCGAAAAAAAAAAAAAACATCCACACATCCGTGCACTCTTCTGTATCCGGCTTCTTTGGCTCGGTGCCATGTCTGCAGGATTCATCCATGTCTTTTTAGTTCTTTTCATTGTGGTGCAGGAGTCCGTTATGAGAATATAACAGAATTCGTTCATTCATTCTCTTTCTGATAGACGTTGCTTCCCGGTTTTCGCTATCATAAATAAAGCTGCTATGAACATTCTTGTACAGGTTGTTTGTAGACATATGCTTTCATTTCCTTTTGATAGATATCTTGCAGTGAGATGTCTGGGTCATAGGGTAGGTATTTGTTTAACTTTATAAGCACCAAACCCTTTTCCAAGGTGGTTACACCATCCTGTACTCCAACCAGCCACATATGAGAGAGTTCAGGTTGCCCCCTGTCCTTGCCAGCACTTGATGTCGTAAAGCTTCTTAAGTTTAGCCATTCTAGTGGGGGACGTAGTATTGCATTGTGGTTTTCATTTCATTGCTCTAAGAAGTAATAATGTTGAGCATCTTTTCATTTATTTATTGGCCAGTTGAAAATATATGTGTGTGTATATATATATATATATATTTTTTTTTTTTTTTGAAATAGAGTCTCACTCTGAGCCCAGGCTGCAGTACAGTGCCTCGGCTCACTGCAACCTCTGCCTCCTGAGTTCAAGTGATCCTCCCGCCTCAGCCTGCCAAGTAGCTGGGATTACCAGCATGTGCCACCACACCTGGCGAATTTTTGTATTTTTAGTAGAGACAGGGTTTCACTATGTTGGCCAAGCTGGTCTTGAACTCCTGACCTCAAGTGATCCGCCCACCACAGCCTTCCAAAGTGCTGAGATTACAAGTGTGAGCCACTGCCTCTGACCCTAATATATTTCTATAAAGAAATAAGGAGGGGCCATCAAGACTTTTGCCCATTTTTTAATTGGGCTGTTTGTGTTTTTATTATTAGGTTGTAGGAGTTCTTTATAAATTCTCATAAATCCTTTGTCAGACACAGGTTTTGCAAATGCAAATATTTTTCTGAGTCTGTGGCTTGTCCATTATGACGCTTGCTTTGATGAGCAGAAGTTTTTAATTTTTTTAACGTCTAATTCATTAACTGTTTATTTCATGGTTATTGTTTTCTGTATTCTAACAAAGAAATCTTTGTCTGCTCCTTGACCACAAAGATATTATCCTTCATTTCCCATTTTCTTCAAAAAGCTTTTATGGGTTTTGCTTTCATATTTGAGTTTATGACCAATCTTGACTTAATTTTGTGTATGGCGAGGGAATAGTCAAAGTTAATGTTTTTCCCATGGATATTCAGCTGTTCCAGAACCATTTTTTGGGGAGGGGATGTTTTGTTTGTTTGTTTGTTTGTTGTTTTTTGAGATGGAGTCTCTCTCTTGTTGCCCAGGCTGGAGTGCAATGGCGCAGTCTCAGCTCACTGCAACCTATGCCTCCCGGGTTCAAGTGATTCTCCTGCCTCAGCCTCCCAAGTAGCTGGGATTACAGGTGCCCCCATCCCCCGGCCTGGCTTATTTTTGTATTTTTAGTAGAGATGGGGTTTCACCATGTTGGCCAGGCTGGTCTCGAACTCCTGACCTCAGGTGATCCGCCTGCCTTGGCCTCCCAAAGTGCTGGGATTACAGGCATGATGAGCCACCACGCCTGACCACCACCACCATTTGTTGAAAAGGCCATCCTTTCCCTGTTGAATTGCTTTGATAATTTTGTCAACAGTCAATTGTTCATGTCAGTGTGGGTCTACTTCTGAGCTCCACTCATCTATTTGTCTATTCTTAGGTCAATACCACACTATTTAAATAGCTAGCTTTACAGTAAAACTTGATGTTAGGTAGTGTAAGCTCTCCAACTTTTTCTTCTTTTCCTAAATTGTTTTGCCTATTCTAAGTCTCTACATTTCCAAATTTTAAAATTCATTTGTCAATTTATATTTGTTTTAAATGAAAGCCTATTGGGATTGTGTTGAAGCCATACTTCAGCTTAGGGGGAACTGACATATTAATACTGAGTTGTCCAATCCATGAACATAGTATATCTTTCCATGTATTTACATCTTCTTTAATTTCTCTCAGCATCATCTTGTGTTTTCAGTATTGATATTGAATATTTCCCATCTTTTATTAATCTGTTGCTAATTATCTTATGTTTTTTGACACTATTGTAAATGGAATTGGTTTTTTAAATATCAGTTCCCAAATGTTTGGTGCTACTATATGAAAATACAATTGATTTTTGTATCTTGACCTTTCTTCAGAAGTGTTTTAATGGGATCTGAAAGAAGAAGTGAGAGAGGTTTAATGAATCAGCCTGTACCTGAACAGGAAGAGAGAAAATGAACAGAAAGGGAACTGACATGCATCGAGTTCTCTATCTGCAAAGCACTCTGCTGGAAATTTTTCATACTTAATTTTCACAGCAACCCTGTGAAGTTGGTTGTTATCCATGTTTTACAGATAAGGAAAGGAAGTGCTCCAGGACCCCACAGGTAGCAAGTGGCAGCCAGGATTCAACCAGAGCTTTTGAGCCCTAAACCCTGCATTCCTCTCGGTATACAGCGCTGCCACGATGCCGCAGAGCAATAGCATGTCAAGTGCTCGCAGGATGGATGCATAAAGAGGTGGCAGCTTACATCAAAGCCAGGTGACCTCCCGTCCAGCTCCTGCAGCCAGGAGGTGTGAGATCCCTGGTGGGCACATAGAGCTAAAGTTCTCCCACCTGTTCTTTCTAGGGCTTAAGCTGCCATGAGCCAATAGGCATGGATGGATGTGATATCCACAGCATGGTGAGCCATGGGCAACAGGGGCATGACCTAGTCCTGACCACACTGGGCCAGCACCAGGCCGGCCATGCCTCCCCAGAGCCTCCCTGGTCTGGGAAGTTTGTGGGCAGGATAGCAGAGCTGTGAGGATCAGTTCCACCTTGCAGATGAAAGAGTACCCTGAGGCCCAGACAGAACCCAAGTGCTGAGCCCGAGAAGCGAAAATCAGCACTTGGGCTTTGTTCCCCAAACCTCTCCTAACATGAGCATCACCGGGGGCAATTTTTCTAAAGCAGATTCCCAGATAACTTCCCCAGAGTTTCTGATTCAGTAGGTCTGAGATGCGGCTCAGGAATCTGTGCTCTAAGCTGCCGAGTGATTCTTCCAATCAGGATATTCTGAGAAACATGAAGTTACTGCTTCCTTAAGGGATTAGGGAAAAACCTGCAGATTGGATGGGAATGAAACAGACCTCCTACCAGAAGTGAGGTAAAGGTCGAAGCCTGTGCTCAGGCAAGCGAGCTGCGTGAGTACCTAAAATGTGTAGGGGATTCCCTCTTCGATGAGTAAAACGGCCAGAGCTCGGCTCTTAGGAAGGTTAACTCCTGAAATGTTGGGTGGGGTCAGGGAGGGACGCCATGGAGAAAAGGGCTTGGCTATGACTCTCAAAGCCTTCAAAGGAAAATGCCCCCCTCTGGCTCCCCAGGATATGGCAGCACAAGACGTCCAGTGGGTAACTGGAAAGAAACCGTCCCAGGGCTCGTCACAAATCACTGCCCAACCAATGAATCACAGGTTATCTAGACAGGCTGAATTCACCACCTTTGCCCATTGGCCGCTTAGGTGCTGAGGCCGCAGGATCTGCCAGCACAGGACCATCAGTTCCCTCCCGTGCCTTATTTACATTTCATTTTATTATTTTTTTAAATTTTATTTTAGAGACATGGGGACTTGTGTCGCGCAGGCTGGAGTGCGGTGGCACAATCACAGCTCACTGCAGCCTCCACCTCCTGAGCTCAAGAGAGCCTCCCACCTCAGCCTCCTGAGTAGCTAGATTACAGGCACGTGTCACCACCCCTGGCTAATTTTCTTTTAATCTTTTGAGGCTGATGTTCTGGTACGTGGGAAAGGAGAGGGAAAGGGGCTGCAGAAGAGAATGAGAGAAAGGGAGGAAGGAATTGAAGACATTCAAGTGTGAGTGGGGAAATGCATAAAAGAGAAAAGGCTACGCAGGGCCAAGTGGACCCCTGAAAACACAGACACAGAGCAGGCACATGCTGGTGGTGCATGGCAGGGCGCTGTGCTGGGGGCTGTCCCGGCCTGGAGAGGGGCAGAGGGATTGCAGTTGACATGTCAACAATCGCTCCTGAATGGCAAGCCCGAGCCCTCCCCTCCACTCCTTCACTCCTGAAGTCCGGTCAAGAGGCTCCAGGCTCTTTTTTGTTACCTTTTTCCGCACCACTGGTTGCCCTGGCAACAGCCGCAGCTGGCCCGTCTCCCAAATCACAAGCTGTAATGAGAATCTCAGGCAGGTTTGTTCTGCTCTGCTGGCTCGCAGACAATAGGTGGAACGCTGGCCCACAGCTGTGGTTTCAGAACCTGTCCCCGAGGATGCCCCGCAAGTAAGGGGAGGGAACAGGGTCTGGGAGGAAAGGTGAGAAAGGGCTCAGCTAAGAGAGAAGGCAGCGGAGGAAACAGGAATGTCCTGGAACTTCCCTACCACCACCTCTGGGACAAACCGGCTGGATGGGAGTGCACAGTGGATGGATCCATAGCTGAATACACAGCAGCACCTAAAGGAAGTGTCTGCCCAGCCCCCAGCCTGCGCCTGCGCCTCCACTGTTCTCACCCAGCGGCTTCAGTGAAAACACGCTGTCCAGATCCACAAATGACCCAAAGCTTCCAGGGAGAGCAAATGTGCTGCAGGCGACAGAGCTGGTATTCATAAAAGAGACCATATTCGATTGGAACAGTGGGCGGAAACTAATAATTTTGAGAAAGATATAGGAAAAGTTGGCTGAACAGAAATTGTCTCGAGAGGCCGGGCGCGGTAGCTCAGGCCTGTAATCCTAGCACTTTGGAAGGCTGAGGCAGGTGGATCACTTGAGGTTAGGAGTTTGAAACCAGCCTGACCGACATGGTAGAACCCCGTCTGTACTAAAAATACAAAAACAAATGGCCAGGCATGGTGGCGGGCACCTGTAATCCCAGCTACTTGGGAGGCTGAGGCAGGAGAATTGTTTGAACCCAGGAGGTGGAGGTTGCAGTGAGCCAAGATCACGCCACTTCACTCCAGCCAGAGCGAGACTCCGTCTCAAAAAAAAAAAAAGAAAAGAAAAAAGAAATTGTCTCGAGAGTCCAAATCACTCGCAAGCTCAGTGCACATCAACAGGGACGCAGCAGCTTAGAACACAGACGCAAGCGGGAGGCACGTGTGCCAGTGTGTCACTGCAGCCCATTCTTTGCCTGGTGGCTGAGCACCCCTCAGGTAAAGTGTATGGGGTCTTAGAAGTCAAGTTGGTGGATGCAGTTTGAATTCAGCTTCCAGTATTTAAAATGTTTGTAATTGTATAAATCAGAGGCTGTGTAATGTTGGGGTCAAAAGCAGGAATGCTGGAGCCAAACTAACTGGGTGTGAATCCCAGTGTTTATAAGCTGTGTATCCTTGAGGAAGTTACTTCACCTCTCTGAGTGTCAGTTGCCTCATCTATACAATGGAGGCAATAGCACTGCCTCCCTCCTAGGGTTTCAGTGAGAATTGAGTCAGTGACTCTAGGTAAAACACTCAGAAGAATGCCGGCACACCGAAAGTGCAAATTCTGGTTGCTAATGGTATTAGTGACTCAGCTGTTGCTTTCAAAAGGTTGATGAGTTGTTTTTGCCTGGAGGGCCCTGGACTCGGAATGCCTGGCCACCCTCAATACTCTCGAACCTAAACTCCTAGTCACCCTTGTATGGTCAGGCTGTGTCTGGCCACTCCCGACAGGAGGTGAGTAAGAGGGACCAATGACCCTCTCCCCAGAGCAGCCCGAGGCCACATGCACCAGCCCATGGTGCTCCTATGGCCCTTGGAGAGCCCCACTAAGGAAGGGCTGTCCCTCTGCTGGCTGGTCCGTGGGGACCCAGTATTCTGAGGACTCACAGCTGCTGAGGAAACACACTTCCACTACCAGCTTCACACCCAGCACGTGCGGGAGCCGTGGAAAGCCACCACCCTTGTCTCCCTTCCTTAGCTAGGAACCCTCTCTTCTTCTTCACTGGGTCTTGGGAAGACTGGAGAGGGCTTTACCCCCTGAGAATGGAACATTGTATAATCATCTACTTGTTCAGAGGAGAGAAATCCTACTCCAGCTCAATCTCTAGAAGAGATTTCTGTAGGCAGCCCAGCACTTCAGCTCAGACGCCATCGCACGCTGGGACCTTAGCCAAATCCTCTTGTTCTTAATTTCTCCCCATCAACACGAGAGTGTTGATTTCAGGGGAGCCTGGAAACTTCTCCATCCACCCAGACTTGTTGGAGAGGCGACTTGCACAGTGCTTTGCAGAAACACAGGTCTCTGTTTTCAGGAGTTGCTCTCGGGAAGGTGAAGCTGTGATCTTTGAAAGCTTTGTAAAGTTCCCTGCATTTCAGAATCACATTCTTTCCCATTTGCCTTTCCCACAAACCCAAAACAGATTTGGAGCAATGGAAACCATGCTTAGAAAAAAAAACCCTCATGATGGAAAACTGCCAAACCTCATCTTCAAAACTAAATGTGGTCTCATCCCAGTTGTCAAGGCCCAATTTTGTATTTTACTCTTGTATTATTTATTTTGCAAACACTGCAGGTGTGTGACGCCAGATGCTGTTCTAAGAGCTTTGCAAACAGTGACTCATTTCATCCTTATAACAACTCCATAAAGGAGACACTGTTGTTATCTTCATCCTCATTTTTGGAGGGGTAAACTGAGGCATGGTACATGACCCATAAGTAACTAGGGATTTAGACCAGGCAGCAAACTCCAGAGTCCATGGTCTTAACCCACAGTGCTGCCTTTCACTCTGCCATGCTTGCTTGCCTTTTCCATGTAGACTAGAATCTTCTAGAAAGCAGAGATAGTGTCTTCATAAAACATCTGTGAAAGGAAAATACATTTTGGGACCCTAAAATCGCTAATCCAAAGGGAAAAGTCAAGCTGGGAACTGCATCAGGCAAACCTGCCTCCTATTTTATTCGTAAATAAGATCACTACACAGACAAAAATTTACATACCTTGCTCACAATTTACCCACAAGGAAATTCCTCGTGGACAAAGAACAGATGGAACTCAAAGTCATCCCTCTGTTCATATGAGACCAGTGTATATGTGATGGTTTCCTCTGCTCTATTGTCTATGTAAAAACGCAGATTCACTGAGCCAGACTGAGGCATCAGTGATTGTTCCCCTACCCCTCTCTCACATGTAAATTGTGTATTCAGTGAAAGGCTAATTTGAGTTAATCAGAAACTCAAAAGAATGCAACTGTTTGTCTCTTATCTACCTATAACCTGGGAGCCCCCACTTTGAGTTGCCCCACCTTTCTGGACCAAACCAATGTACATCTCACACATATTGATTGATGTCTCATGTCTCCCTAAAATGTATAAAACCAAGCTGAGTCCCAAACACCTTGGGCACCTGTTGTCAGGACCTCCTGAGGCTGTGTCACGGGCATGTCCTTAACCTTGGCAAAATGAACTTTCGAAATGGATTGAGACCTGTCTCAGATACTTTTGGGTTCACACATCTTACAGTGAGTCCTGCAGGCCCCTGACAAATGCCTTGTGATGACGTTGGCAGCTGTTCGCAGCAGCAGCAATGACTGAGAGGTGTCCTTCACCTCCATCTCACTAATTAGACACCACAGCTCTGGGAAGCAGGGGAAACCAGCCATCTCTGCTGGGGCAGCCGCTTCCTACAACCCGCCCAAGTGCCCTGCAAATGACAATGACGGCAGCTCCTGCCCTGAGAAGGGCCTGGGCACGGGAGGGGAACAGTCTCAGGATGCCTGTTCTACTAGGGGAGGGGGCGCAGCTTCCCAGAGGCTCATGGCCTGACTTCTGACCTTCCTGAAACCTGCACCACCGCCCCCTTCCAGCTTCCCTGACTGCAAAACAGCATCTTCTCTTGCATTGTTCTTTGAGGAAATTTGGCAGCAGGCATGGAAAATGTTTCCTCCAGGCCCCCAGCTCAGCACATGAAAGGCAGGCTGCTGTCTGCGGGGCCCCCAGACGCCACTGGATTCCCGGCCAGAACTTGCAGCTCAGGGAGTGGCCCTGTCTCTTTTGTTATGACCCCTCCTCGAGATGCCAAGCTGGCGGGGGAACAACAGCTGGCACTGGCCGGGCTGGCTCTGAGTTCCCCTCTCACAGCTCACCTAGCCTGAGCCCCTGGGACCAGGTGGGGCTGCTCCAGGACCAGGAGCACCTCCGGGGGCTGCAGCCATGTCCTCGGGAATGTCAGAGGCCTGATGCTGGCAGGGGCTTCACTCACACGCCACGCATGGCAGGAGGGGCGAGCGCTCCCCAGGCCTGGCTGTTGTTTATTCCCCTCCTTGCCCCTGTTGGGGGGTTGACTTTGAGCACTGACATCAGAGTTTCATTTCGAGAGACCCTCAGTGTTCACTAGAGCAAGGTCTGCTCTGCAGAATATGACAGCCAGGCGCCCCCTCCTACCGTAGACTTGGGGTCCTCACCCAGGGGCCCTCAGAGACCGGTGGGTGAAGACTGACGTGTGACTCTACTGGAAAAATGACGAGGTGACAGGCACCACCCTCGTGGCTTTGCACTCAGCTAGTAGGCAGCTTCTCTCCAGTGCTGGACTGTTCCTGCATCCCTGTCCAGAAACCAGAGGGCATTTTGAAGGTGACGCAAACACATCATGTCCCACTGGCATTGTGACCTCAGGTACGAGGTTGTGTTTTCACAGCAACCCTGCACAATAGATGGGGTTGGAATTTCATTATGCCCACTGGACAGATGTGAAAACTGAGACCCAGAGAAGCGATCCATCAAAGGGCAGCCACTCTGCCGCTCATTCCAAGTGCTTTTCCCTTTTATGCCCTACCACCAAGTAAGGCCACCCATGTACTGGTGAGGGAAGCGAGGAGGAGAGTCATGAGGAATTCGACAGAATTGCACAGCCCTGAGGGAAAGAACCTCTTTGAATTTGGGGCCCCTTCCCAGCCTTCTGGGACCCCCTGTAGTCAGAATAAAGGCAGGTGTCACCAGCCTCAGTTGTCCCCCAACTCCACTCCACATAGAACCCACCCAGAACTTAGCAAGTACTTCCTCTCTGTCCAGAAGACCCCTCTCCTGTTACTCCCTGTCTGTTTCCTCTGCTAGGCACGGGACGCTTCTAGCCGAGGCCACCTTTCCTAAAGGAGACCCAGGGACATGCAGCCACTGTCAGCCCAGGAGGGTGGACCTGAGGGCTCTTGGGGAGGTGGCTGGGGAAGACCAGGGGCTACCTAAAAATAGGCTTGTGCCCCAGGCTGTTGAGTGACAACCTCTCCCTGGGCACAGCTGGGACTGTGTGACCGAGAAATGGGGGAGTAGGAGCCAGGGAGGCTGAGTGTCCCCAGGGAGCTTAAGCAAAGCTATTTTGAAGCCCATTTATTGGGCAGCCAGGATGGGTCCCACATGCTTTCCTGGTGCCCCTCGGAGGCACTTGGGAATGGGGAGATGATGGAGTTGACAGCTTGGGACAAAGCTGGGTTAGCCAGAGGTAGGAACAAAAGGAACAGCAGAGAAAGCGGAACCGGGAAGGGGGTTGCAATACTGAGAAGCAGGAGGCAGAGCAGGTGGATTTCACTGGAGGCCCTCACCCCACCTGCAGGGCCTCTGGCTGGCTCTGCGGAACCACAAGACACCTCCTGCCACTCAAAGGTTTGGCTGGGAGGAGGTGGGTGGGGAGTGACTTGCTGGTGACCGGTGAGCCCAGTCTCCAGGAGGGCAGGTTCTGCCCGTGCAGAGATGCGCCCGGGTGAGGCACAGGAAGCCCAGGCACCGCTGGTCCTGGAGGCACCATCACCCACATCTGCAGCACTGGTGGGCGGGTCCCCTCCCATTGCCCAATTCCCAGCCCTGCTTCTGGTTTCCAAAGGTTCCTTGACATAGTATTCCACGGAAAACAACCAAGGTGAAAGGTTCTGTCTGCTGCAACCTAACACCTGTAGCAATTCCTGATGGCCCAGCCCCAGCCCGAGGCTCTGATCTGCGGCGGCTGAGGAGTCAGTGCTTTGGGACTCCTGTCAGCCCCCAGTTCATCAGGCATCATCCCAGAGCCTGAGATGTGAGGCCACCTCCTCTGAGCCCTCTCAGCCCTGGTTCCTAGTGGCCTTGTTGTCCCTAAGCCCCACTTAGGGTTGCGAAACTATTAAGTGCATGCACCAGAGCCTCCTATGTGTGAGATACAGTCCTTAACCAAAACAGAATTCTTATCTAGTTAGAGAGAATACGTGAATCAAAAAAATCTATGGCTTTCCAGTGCAACAAACGGTAAGAAGCAAACAGGCGTTGCTGCAATAACAGCAGGGATGGAAGTTCCGGGAAGGGTTATCACAGCCGAGGTTGTTCGGGGCAGGCTTCATTGAGGATTTGGGACATGAATGGAATTTGAGCTTCCCTTCAGCATGGAGAAAGCGTGGAAGCAGAGGTCTGAGGGTGGAAGCAGGCAGGGCTCGTGGGGACCTGATGAAGACGTCTTCCTGGCTGGGTGAACTGTAAGGGGGCGCTGGAGGGATCACAAGGTGGGAGAGGAATTGGGGACAGCCTTGAAGCCCAGGGAAAGAGCTTAGTCTCAATCCTGTGGGTAGTGGGTGAGTCAGAGGTTTTAAAGGGAGGGGGATGGCGGTAGGAACAGCGGTAGGGGTTTTCCAAAGATTAATCTGGATGTAGGGCAGGGTGGACCACAGCTAGAAAGAATAAAGGCAGGAAGTCATCTCCAGGGCCCTGATCTGGCCACAAAGCTGGGCCTCACCCCACAGTTTCCAGACTAGAGAATCTGATCAAGCAAACCCAGGCAGGCCCCTTGTGGCTGATTTAAGCAGTCTCATGAAATGTCGTCTTTGCAAAACGTTCAGTGAGCAGTGGGCTGACACCAGGAATTCCAAATGCTGGTGAGGCAGAAGTTTGGGGGTAAACCGTGGCATCTCACCACTCACTTCCCGAACCTGCTCCAAAGAGACCCAGCATGAAGGAAAAAGGCCCTCAGGGGAGGGAAAAAGAAAATCTCCACCCGGCAGTAGGCAAGCCCCAGCCCCCACCGCGCCCCCCCTCCCTGGAACCCTCCCATTCCTGCCAGTGGGGCTCTCTGGCTGGTTTCGGGGGACCCCACACATGGGAGGGGGCTGCTCTCCCTTAATTGCAACCAACCCCAGGCCTTTTTGATAGGACTCATGAATTTTACCTGAAGTGTAACTGGATGCTATGCTTGATTAGATTTTTCCTGGCTTTCTATACTATCCTATCCTCCTTCTCCCGATCTGGGGGCTCCAGGCCCTCCCTAACTGCCTCCCTTCTCCAAAATGCACCCCTAGTCTCAGACCTCACTGTACTGTTCATCTACTGTCTTACAACTCTGTCCTCGTACTCACCCCAAAAAGTAAGGCAATGACAAAGAGATGGAGTGGAGGGCACTCGAGCAGGAAGCAGAGCCAGAAGCCCTCCCGCTCCAGGGGCCAGGGGGAGGGCGGGGTCAGGAGGGTGAGAAAGCCCAGGAACCCTTCAGACTGGCGGGGTGAGTGCAGCCCCAGCATCCAGACTCAACTCCTCACCCAGGCCCTCCAGGCTGCCCCGCTTTAACGCCTGCTCCTCCCTTCTCCCGCACATGTGTCCCTTCCTGGGGGCTACGCCCTGGTGTTCACATGTCTTTCTTTTTCTCTGTCCTATCTGTCGAGCTTTGCCCAGGATGCTTGGAAGTCTTCATCTTATCATTCCCAGGATCCAGGGAATAATAAGATCCTTATTCCCAGGATCCAGGCATGATGCTGTCTGTGCAGTTCAAGCACAGGTGCATTTTGCATTTACTTTTTGAGGCTTCATATACATGAAGCACTACACTAGGCCATTAGCGCTAACTTAAAGGGGAAGAGAGAATGTGATTGCCACTCTCACGTGGCGCGCTGGAAGGTTCAGGGAGGTGCAGCTGACAAACCAACCAGAGACACTAAGTGCCGCAGGCTGCCCTGCTGGGTGACAGGGCGGCCTGCAGAGGTGGAATGCGCTCTCTGACCCCACAGCCCGCAGGGCCCCAGTTGAGCTCCCAGAGGGCTGCCCGCATCTGTCCCTGTATCTCACGGCGCCCCTCAGGAAGCCCAAGGCAGTGTTCCTGGCATAGATGCGGGGAACCCTCAAGGGTGGGTGCAGTACCTCAGCCTTCCAGGCCCAGGTGCCCCAAGGGCTGGCCTCCTGCAGGGACAATGCTGAGCTGGAGGTCCACACGGCAGGCAGAGGGGTGGCTGGTGTAGCTAAGCCTCCCCAGGAACAAGGAGCCGGGCCTGCTTTCACCTGCTGCTCTCTTTCCTGACAGCTGTGGGAGATGAGTGAGCCGGAGCAGGGCTAGCAGCAAAGGGAAGGCTGCATCAGCCCCCAGCCCAGCCTCTGTGTGGCCTCTGCACGTGCACGCGCACACTACACACACACACACACACAAACACACACCTTGGCAGATGTATCCCTAGAACGTGGCAGAGACTCAGGCTGGAGCCACTTGGTGCAGGGACTCACAACCTCCAAACTCCAGATGCCACCGCTGCTAGGAGCTTATGTCGACTGAGCTTGGACCAATGCTGGTCACAGGATCTTGGACCATGTTCTTGCCTGTTGTACCTCAGAGAAGATCCTTCCCATTCCCTTTCTCCTGTACCCGAGGAAAACCCTAGCCTGCACTTCCCGTCGGGCTTCCTGCTGGGAGCACCTCCAGCCCCCCATTACCCAGCAACAACTTCTCCACGGCCACCCAGGGACACATGTGAACAGGTGATGGAGGCCAGCATGGATTCCCACCCAGCCCCCATGCATGCCTGCTCCTAGGGGTTAGACCCCTGCTTTCCGGAAACTTTCTCTTCCTCGGATATTTGGCAAACTGCCCACCGTGCTTTGAAGTCTTCATCTTATAGATTCTCAGGATCCAGGCACGATGCTATCTGTGCAGTTCAAACACAGCTGCATTTTGCCTTTATTTCTCAGAGCTTAATATACATGAAGCACCAAGCTAGACCATTAGTACTAACTTTACCATTAATGGAAGAGATGGCATGATTCCCACTCTCTCTCAGGTGGTATGTGGGAAGGTTCGGGGAGGCGTGGCCGACAAATGGACCTGAAATATTAAGAGGACAGCACAAGAAAGAGTGTGGCCTGGTGTCCACCATGCTCTTTGGAAGCTCAGTGCCATGGAAGGAGGGGAGGGCCCTTCAGGGCCACGGTGCAGGGAAGTCTGAAAGATTTGAAGGAGGGAGCAACATGGTCCTATGTCAGGAGCTGGTATTAATGCCAGAAATCAAGAGTGTTCTTGATTTAGGAAAAGGAGTACATGGAATTGCCCGGATCACAACGGAGAGGGAGGAGAAGGGAGCTGGCCGTGTCCCCGTCATCACCAGCTGTCATTGGAGGGCAGCTTCCGAGCCCCACTGGTGTCTCAGCTGGGGATGGCAGAAAGCACCCTGCAAGAAGCTGCCAAGCTCTGTCGTTCCTTATGAACCAATTAAACATGATTAAGATTGTGTTCTCATTACCTAAATAATTCATTAACATTTTCAGTAGGAAATTTAGAAAATATAAGTGAGTGAGAATAAAACAGAAATCACGTGTTTTCTCACCCACGGAGACACTGCATCCTTCTAGTCTTTTTTCTACACATAAACATATTTTTGTTAAATTATAATTTGTCAAACGAGGGTATTGATTCAGGGAAAGTTAATATTAGATAGTGCTGTTGCTGTCCATGTTCAAAGGTGGTCTAGTGACAATGATGACTCTTTGGACTGAAAAGAGTCACCGGGCATGGTGGCTCACGCCTGTAATCCCAGCACTTTGGGAGGCTGAGGCGGGCGGATCACGAGGTCAGGAGTTCAAGAGCAGCCTGGCCAACATGGTGAAACCCTGTCTCTACTAAAAAAAATACAAAAATTATCTGGGCGTGGTGGTGGGCACCTGTAATCCCAGCTACTCAGGAGGCTGAGGCAAAAGAATACTTTGAACCTGGGAGGCGGAAGTTGCAGTGAGCCAAGATCGCACCATTGCACTCCAGCATAGATGACAGAGTGAGACTCCGCCTCAAAAAGAAAAAAAAGAAAAGAAAAGAGTCACCCTGCAGGAACAATGGCCATTATCTGTCACACGGCTTTTGGACTTACCATTTGCCTGGATGTCTTTGTGTGAAGAAAGCCAAGTCCCCTACCCACCACCTCCTCATCCCCCACACAATCATCTCCATGCAGTTTCACCTTCGTCTTCCAATACCGCACATCTGTGACACGCTGCGAGCAGTGCTGCACAGAAGCATATTTTAAAAGCTTCCTATAACTTCCCCGCCTCTTGTTTCTTTGGTTCAAGAACAGTTGACCCATGGGGCAGGAAAGTATATAAAAATATCCCTATGGGCTGGGCACGGTGCCTCACGCCTATAATGCCAGCATTTTGGGAGGCCAAGGCGGGAGGATCACCTGAGGTCAGGAGTTCAAGACCAGCCTGGCCAACATGGTGAATCTCCATCTCTCCTAAAAATACAAAAATTAACCGAGTGTGGTGGTGCATGCCTGTAATCTCAGCTGCTTGGGAGGCTGAGGCAGAAGAATCACTGGAAGCCGGGAGGAAGAGGTTTCAGTGAGTCAAGATCATGCCATTGCACTCCAGCCTGGGTGACAAGAGCAAAACTCCAACTCAAAAAATAAAAATATCCCTGTGCACCCAGAGGGGGCCCCGATCTCAGGGAAAGGTTGATCTTGGGAGAGGCAGGGCATAGATTAAAAACAATTGTCTAATGCACGATTAAATACGTTCATGGGCTTGCACAGTGTAAGAGCTCAAGAGAGACTTAGAAATAACAGAGTACCTCCCTCCCTCTGCCTTGCAGACAGGGAAAGTGGTTCCAAAAACAGGCTTTCGAAGCCCCAACATGTTTGTTTCTGAGCCCTCACATGGCTTCTTAGCAGTCTTTGGGCTTTCTAGCTCAGGTGCATACACATCAGACACATTTTCATTGAGCTCACAGGAAATCACTGCAGCTCACACAGCTTCCTCAAAAAGGCAAAAATCACCGGGAGAAAGTCACAAGGTTTAAGAACTTTCTCAGCCCCAAAGGGTTAATGGAGGCTGGCAATGCAGCATGATCCCACCCGGGCTTGGACAGGAAAAGAACTCAGGAGCTGTTTTTCTTCTCCGAAAGCCAATCCCAGTGGAGGCACTGGGGTTTTTAAAACCAAATGTCTCTACAGCTTGAAATGAACGACTGCGTGACCTCAGCCGTCACACACACATGGCCCCTGCTGTTAAACCCTGAGCAGGGCTGGGCTCAGGGCATCCCGTAAATATTCGACGTCTGTGAGGCACATGTGGGAGGAAGAGCTGCCATCAGAAGTGGTTTCAGCTGGAAGGCCAGAGTCTCTCTCTCTCTCTCTGTGTCTGTCTGTCTCTGAAAGTTACCGTCATCTGTTAGCAATTTCCCCACTCCCATTAAAGCCAGACACTGGATCCATTTGCGTTGCTGCAGACCACCATAAGGGATTCATTTTTATTGCTTGGATGTGAGTCTCTGAACCACATCAATTACAGCCCTTTGTGTTACCGACCAGGTAGTATGAATGAGACGATGACAATCTTACTGCAGAATGGTTCACAGATTGTACCGAGATGGAATTCTCCGTTCACTGAGAGCAGAGGAGGGAAAAAAATCTAGATTCTAGGCTACAGAGACAATTCAACTCCCACAAAATGTGAGTGCCTTATCAGTCTCAGCAAAACCTCACTCCTGCAGGTGTGGACAGTTGGGACCTGAAACTCAAGTGGAAGGAGTGATTTCCAAAGCTACAGAAACAAACATAACATGATTGTCATTACTAGCAATCATGCATGAAAAATTGAGTCATTAACCCTGTGGAGATATTTCTAAAACACACATTGGACCCAGACTGGAGAACTGAGTTTCCTGCTGCTTCTTCCATGAATTTGTGCCGTGACTCTGGGAACGTCATGCAGATGGAGCCTCAGTTTCCTCTTCTGTCCAGTGAAGGGCTGAAGGGTTTAGATGATCTGAATTTCCCTCCATCTCTAGCTCTCTAGGACTCTAGGCACCTTTATAAAGTGGGGAAATAGAATCATCAGGATAAACTCTTGCAGAAATCATCATACTGGGGCAGTGAGGAGAGGTGAACCATGCTGAGCACTGCACAAAACATTTCGGACAGAAAGTCCTGTGCCTCCCCCAGCTTTCCGTCTAAGACAAGCATGCATGCAATAGCAAGAATCCCTAGGCACAGGACTGAACCAGGACTCCCGGCCACAAAAGCTGCCATGGGAAGCTATAGCTTCTCCAGCTCCTCAGTGGCACCGTTCAGCCCTCAAGGCAGACTCTCACCAGGAGAAGAGCCAGGGTGGCTACGCTGTGGGAGCAGGGGACCCTAAAAGTGCATGGAGAGCGGCCTTCACCCTTGCAGGAAATGCCTGAGCCTCCCAGATGGGCCTGACCTGGCCCGAAGATACCACCCCTCTTAGAGGGGCCTCACCAGCTGACAGATCCATCATATCCCGGCAAAAAGGGGAGTCTGGAACCAGGACTTCACCCACTGTCTTCTCTCTTGCTCTCTTTTGTTTTCTGCAAGTGATGGATGGACGTACTTTGAAGGAAGTTCAGCCTGATAAGTCATTTCCTCCCCCGAAGGCATCTGACTCACCTCTAATTCACCTCCCATGAGGCTGCTCAGGACAGACAATGTGGATTTTTTCCTGAGTTGTAATATACTGTGGCTTCTTCACTCAAGCCCCCACAAGTAGCTTTGCCTGTGCAGGAAACCCAGGCTGGGGCCCTCGGGGCTTGCCGTCATCCTGCTTTTCTGCAACATATCCACCCATCTCCCGTTTCCACTCCAGGAGAACAGAAGGGTGACGCTGCCCAGACTCACAAGAGCTCGGGGTCCAGCTGTGGGGTGCAGCCAGGACCCAATGCCATGTCTGATCCCCACACGGGAGACCACCAGCCTGCTTCGCAAAGGAGTTCAAAGGAAGCAAGCACCAGCCAGGCGAGACACTCATCCAGCTGTGAGCATCACGGCCTAAAGGCAACATGCAGGGGCTCTTTCCCATTTTTAATGGAATCTTAACTGTCCACCAACCACGTCTTCCAGATTTACCCACAAGGCTTGACAGCGTCAGAGGAAAGAAAGGAGATTCTCCCATCCCGTGCTCTTCTTTCTCTCTGCTGGGCGGTTGTGTGTACAGAGCGCAGGCCACCACACACACACACACACACACACACACACACGCATACACACATACACGCACACGCATGCACATACACACATACACACATGCACATACACACATACACACACATACACACATGCAGAGTGCAGTTCGTAGTGGCCATGCATGAGCAGCCCCATCCAGGTGGGCAAAGGGAGTGATGATGAGCAGCCTGGGCCCGAGCTGTGGTCAAGACAGCCCTGCCCCATCGGTTTCAGCCACCCGGAGCGGCCGCCCCACCCGCCTCCTGCAAAGAGGTGAGCTGCCCCTGCCCACTGCTGCTCCAGCTCACACCCGTCATCCGTGAGCCATTACTGACTACCTACAGGGTGCGCCCGCCGTGGTCTGCATGTCCCACAGAAATTACCCAGGGCTGGCCCAGCGGCTCCCAGCAGACGGCCAGGCATGTGCTCCCAGGGGCACTGGTCCTAGACAGATGAGGACACATAGGGACTGACACCCCTGAAAACGCCTGGGGCAGCAGGCGAGTCACCAGGAGGAGGACTCAGGAGCCGGAAAGGAAGGGCCCATCCCTGGAAGCGTCTGAGCAGAGGCTGGGCAGTCCCAGCAGGGCAGTGTCAGAGGGGACTGGAGGCTCCAAAGCTCTGCTGATGCTGAGACCCTATGAGGCTGTGTCCCACCAAATGAGCCTGCTGAGCTCACAGGCCTGCGTCCCACCAACCGGGAGTGCTGGTCCCACAAGGCTTCATTCCACCAATGGGGCCTGCTGAGACCCCATGAGGCTGTGTCCCTTCAACTGGGCCTGCTGACGAGTGAGCTAGAAGTGGATTTCCTGGAAATGAAATCCATGCCATGACCTGAGAAAGGAGAGTGGCTGAGGAGAGGGCAGCAGGGGATGCCCCCCTCATGGGGGGATGCTCCCCACCCCTCCCTTTAGTACTGAGGGACCCCAGCAGCTGCAGAAGACCAGGGACCAGGGGCCGCTGTCATGGCCTGTGTTGAAATGTGAATGCCTCAGGTTTCCTCTCCCTGAATTTTCCCCTTTCCTCTTCCCTGTTTACCTTTCTGCCTCAATATCCCTGAGTACAAATCGCAAGGACACCAACAGCGGCTTCAGTGGGTCCTTGTGTGAGCCAGGCACATGTACTATTATCTCATTTAATCCTGAGGGAGGCGTGAGGCAGGCCGGGGCAGAAACAGCCTGCACATTTTTCTAGCTTTTGGTTCTAAAACCCCAAGCCCCTGGGAGAAAGGGGAAGGTGGAGTGGGCAGAGAGGGCTTGAAGAAGCTTGAGGGGAGAAGGATCTCCCCAACAAGAGATTAATCAGGCCTGATAGGAAGCAGCCAAGGGAGAGGTAGAAACAACAACAGAGGGAAAGAGAGAGAAGGAGAGAGAGAGAAGAATGAGAGAAAGAGAACGAGAGAACAAGAGAGAGAGGAGAGAGAAAATGAGAGAAAAGGAGAACGAGAGAGGAGAGAGAGAGAAGAACGAGAGAGACAGAACGAGGGAGAGAATCAGAGAGAAAGAGAACAAGAGAGAGAACGAGGGAGAGGAAAGCAAGAATAAGAGTGAGAAGAGAGAGCAAGAACACAAGAGAGAGAAGCAGAGAGAGAGAGAAGAACGAGAGAATGAGAGAGACAGAATGAGAGAGAACAAGAGAGAAAGCGAGAGAGAGGAGAGAGAATGAGAGAGAGAGAAAGAACGAGAGGAGAGAATGAGATAGAGATGAGAGAGTGAGAATGCAAGAGAGAGAGGAGAGAGAGAGAAGAACGAGAGAGAGAGAACAAGAGAGAGGAGAGAATGAGAGTGAGATGAGAGAGTGAGAATGTAAGAGAGAGGAGAGAGAAGAACGAGAGAGAGAGAACAAGAGAGAGGAGAGAGAGAACAAGAGAAAGAAGAAGGAGAGAGAACAAGAGAGAGACAGGAGAGAAAGAACAAGACAGAGAGAACAAGAGGAGAGAGAAAGAGAACAAGAGAGAACGAGAGAGAATGAGACGGGAGAGAGAGAACATGCACCCTGGGGAACTGTGCCCATGTTCTCAGCTCCTCTGAGGGACAGAGCTGAACTCTGGAGAGGGCAGATGGACCCCCCCACCTCCTTCACCTCCTGCCCGGGAAGCCAGAGTGCCATGAGACCAGGCCTCGGAGTCTCAGCTGCCCCCGTGCACACAGAGCATAAAGGCCCCACAAGGAAATGAGGGCCCTGAGACCCCCAAGGTTACCCCACAGTCTTTGGGTGGAGAAAGCCGGGGAAGGACTGACTGGAATTTCCCAGGACCCTGCCACCCGGACCTGCACTCAGATGTCAAGTTACTACAGGAAAATAAAGTGTGCTCTATTTCTTCTGCAACTGAGTTTTTGGACCAGCATTTACATATGCGACATTTGTTTTTAAATTCCCAGCTTAACACCTGGTAGTTCCTCAATGCATGTTTATCGAACGACTGCGTGGGCCAGAGTCAAAAAGAGTGCTGCCGGAGAGGCAACAGAAACATACGATTGGCCAGTGGTTCTCAAAGTGTCACCGAGGAACAGCTGAAGGGTTCCAGATCCTTTCATAATAATCCTAAGACACTAATTGACTTCTTCATTCTCATTCTCTCACAGTGAAGTTTCCAGAAGCTACATGACACGCGGTTCAATTCCGATTGAATGCGGAAGGAGATATGACAACCTTAACGTCCTCTATTAAGCCATACATTAAAAGGACTTGCAAGATGTAAAATAATGCCCTTCTTTTCACTGAATTCTTTTGTCTTGAAAAAATATAATTATTTCCTATAAGAATATTTGATGTTGGTGTGCAACAGGTTTATTAATCGACTGATAGATTAATACATGCATATTTTTTAAGTTTCTCAGCTGTAATTGTTAATGCAACATACATTGATAGATGCGGCCATATAAACAAGAGCTCCTCGGGAGCCTCAGTGGTTTTTCAGAGTACAAAGTGAGTCCTGAGACTACCTTGTTTGAGGATCACTGTAATAAACAAAGAGCAGTGCAGGGGCGAGCTGAAGGGGACAGTGGCTTTGTCGCTGACTGTTTGACCTTGAACAGGCTGTTTGACCTTGAGTAGGCTGTTTGACCTCTGGCCTCATCTACCAGTGGAAGATGCTGAGCAAACGGGTCCCAAGTCCCCTCCACCTTTAACCACCTGTAACTCTTGGTTCTTTCACAGCAGAGGCAGAGACTGGGAGCTCAAAAGGCCAAAGGGGCCCTCCCCGAAAGCCTGGCTCCCTGGAGCACACCGTGAGAATGCCACAGCATCGGTCTGCTGGCGAAAAATAACCGCCCTGAGACCTGGGGTCCGAGCACTTCTCCCAGGGCCCGGAGGAGAGGGGTGATGTCAGCGCCCTGCAGCCGGCGGCATTCCTGGGCGCACAGGTCTGTGGGTGATTGCTCAGGAATCCGCCATCCATTCATGCCTCCAGAAATGTCACCTCTAATCCATGCCTGAGCACAGAGTGTTTGCCTGTGTGTGTGTGTGTGTGTGTGTGTGTGTGTGCACCACACTCCATCAAATGCAAGAAGTAATCCAATTTAGGCTCTTACGTCCTTTCAGGGAAGACTCACAGAGAAACAAAGCTCCGAGCCCTGTGTTTCGGGAAGTCACCCCTGTGTTGTGGCCTCAGCAAGCAGAAATTTGAAGGAGCAGGTGGGGGTGTGAGACCCAGCAGTGATGGTGCCCTTCCCGCCTCCTGGCCAGAGGCCCTCCTGCCCATCCCTCCCGGAGCCCACGCTGTCCTCCGTGGGGCTATTGGAAACCTACTCTGAAACTGTTATAAATACTCAATAATAAACAAACATGAGTTATTTCTGAAATGTTCCCAGGAATAGCCAACTGCCCAAATAGCCAAGGTTGTTCTTCAAGTCCTGGGAAAAATAGAAATGTGGGTATGGTTTATTTTTCCTTTGCTCAAAGCAGGATCCTTGGTCACACACATCTAATTTTAGTTTTCTGTTTCTATTTTGTATGTTATCATTGTGTAGCCCAGGGAAAGAGAGAAGAGAGGGGTGGGAGAGAGACTGGGGAAGAATGAGGGGGAGAGAGAGAGAATGAGCATGAAGGGAAGACGGGAGGAAGATTCTGGTCTTCAGCTCTTGCTCCTGTGATAACATTTGGAAAAACAACAGTGTAGTCTTCAATATTTCCTTGGCCCTGCTGGAAGTGAATTTTAGAGACCCAAGATGGTGGGTGAGCCATAGAGAAATGTTATAAATTTCCAAGTCTCCTCAAAATCAGATAATAAGTGAAAATGTAGATAGCTGGAAAAAAAAAAATAAAGGGAGGCCACGATGAAGACCACAGCTCACCCAAGGCATCAGAAAAGGAGTTTCCAGTGAGCAAGGAGGGTCTGGAATTAAGACGTTTTGGGGCCAGGTATGGTGAGTCACGCATTTAATCCCAGAGCTTTGGGAGGCCAAGGCAGGCAGGTCACTAGAGGCTAGGATTTCAAGACCAGCCTGGGCACCATAGCGAGGCTGCATCCCTACAAAAAATACAAAACTTAGCCAGGCATGGTGGTGTGAGCCTGTCATCCCAGCTACTCTGGAGGCTGAGGCGGGAGGATCACTGGAGCCCAGAAATTGGAGGCTGCCGTGAGCTATGATCACACCACTGCACTCCAGCCTGAGCGGACCCTATCTTAAAAAATACTAAAAAGACCCTTTCACAAGGTCACCTGGACACCGGAAATGCCTCTGTTTCCCACATGCTGCTATGGAGGAGAACAAGCAATAGACAGCCCCGATAAATCCCCACCAGTGAGCTGCACTCAGGGCTGGCCCACTCTGACCACTTCCTCCCTTGGCTATTAGGACTCAACCAAATCGGCACGTTTAGCGAGTAGTTGCTGAGATGCCAGACAGCGCTCAGAACTGGGTGCATGCGCTGAGGCTGGCAAAGCCATCCTCCTGCTTGGGAAAGACTAGCAAAGCAGAGTTCTGCCCTGGGACTCTAGAGGGGAGCCCCTTGCAGCTGGCATTCCCCTGACCAGGCCCTCACTTGCCAGGATGGGACCCAGGAGTCCTAACACCAGCCAGGCTTTGCACCCCCTGCCCGTAACACTGGTCTGGAATCTTCAAAGCAGCCACAGAAGCCCCTGAGCCCCCTTCATTTGTTCCTAATCTGCCTTCTCCAGACCCCACCTTCACCCAATTTGGAGCATGTGGCTCTCTCCCCGACTGCAGTCGGTGGTGCCACTGTGTGGATTTGATGTTGGCTTTTGGCCTACCTGGTGTCAGCTTTTCCCAGAAGATCACACTGGGCTTGAGTTCCATTTCTCAATGCACTCTGCTAATTCAACCCTGGCCAAATGAGCTTTCAACACCACAGCCGCCCTGGAAGAATGCGGTGCACACATCAGCACTCTGCTTTAAGCTCCAATGTGCTATTCCTGCTGCAGCCTCAATGCAGACACGGGGTGGGCAAGTAGCCCGTCTGACGAGGGGCCCACAGGAAGTCCGTCACCCTCCCAGGCCCGTCTGACGAGGGGCCCACAGGAAGTCTGTCACCCTCCCAGGCCCACCTGATGAGGGGTCCACAGGAAGTCCATCACCCTCCCAGGCCCACTTGATGAGGGGACCACAGGAAGTCCATCACCCTCCCAGGCCCACTTGATGAGGGGACCACAGGAAGTCCATTACCCTCCCAGGCACATCTGAAGAGGGGCCCACAGGAAGTCCACCACCTTCCTGAGTCCACCTGATAAGGAGCCCACAGGAATCCCATCACCTTCCCAGGTGCTCTTAGCATGTGGGCGTAGTCCTAACATCTGCAAGCATCCTGAGGGGGAAAAATAAATGAAGCTCAAGGAAGAGAAAAACCATTTCATGCCTTACCCAAGGCCTTTCTCCAGAGCTGTTCTCATGAACGACACAACCCTAATCACAGCTAACATGAAAGGCTAAGTCACCAAGACTGTGTGGCGACCGCACACTCATGCCGACAGTGTCACAACAAGATCCATCTCACGCCTGTAATCCCAGCACTTTGGGAGGCCACGGCAGGAGGACTGCTTGAGGCCAGGAGTTCGTGACCAGCCTAGGCAACTTAGTGAGTCCTCATCTCTATTTTAAAATAAATAAATATTTTTGTAAAAAGCTCCATCTTATCTGTTGGCATGGCCAGCCCTTACACTCCCAAAAGGACTCCGAGGTCCCTGCCTAACTTGACCTCAATTCCTACTTTTTTCCTCGTGCACAAAATAGGATGAAAGGTAAAGATCTCCCTCCTGAATTAATAGTGTGAGAAACAATTAAAAAACAATGATTTCATGGCTTTCATGATCTATAAGTTGCCTTAGAAGGGTTTTAAGAAGTGCAGGAGCTTCTCCCAACCTAGCAAACAGCAGACTCCGAGACCACTGGAGGCCTTCCCTGTTGAAGACTGGCGCCTCAGAAGACATGGCTTCTCTTTTCTAAATAACTGGGTCAAGAATTTGGTTAGGTTAAAACAAAACAAGAACCAAAACCAAAAAGGAACAAGCCTTCCCAAGTGTCTTAGTCAGTTCAGGCTGCTATAAAAAGAACCGCTGACTGGGTGACCTACAAACAACAGACATGTCTCTCCTCTGAGTTCTGCAGGCTGGCAGTTCTGAGATCCGGGCGCCTGCACCGTCAGATTCTGCTGCAGGCTGGCTTCTTGGTTGCAGACGGGCAGGCTTCCTGCTGTGTCCTCAATCGGAGGAAAGAGATCATCTCTCTTGTGTCTCTTTCATGAGGGCACTAATCCCATTCGTTGGGGCTCCACCCTCATGACCTCATCACCTTCCAAAGGTCTGACCTCCTAACACCATCTTCACGCGGGTGAGGATTTCAACGTGGGAATCTGGGGGAGACACAAACACTCAGTTCCTAGCACCAGGAAAGCGTGTGTGAATGTGACAGAGTGCTGGGGGCCCTGAGAAGTCACGCCTCTTCCATTGGCTTCTGGGGCCACCAGGACAGGAGGACTTCCCCCAGCCTTGCGCAGCCTGCATGCTGGGGACAAGTGGTCAGAGCTCTGCACCACATTGTGGGGACCAGCTCTGGAGACAACATTGGTCTCTCTGGCTTTGGGCTTAAGTTGCCTCTGAGCTCATCACCTTTCTTTTCCTGACATCCTACTGGGAAGCTGCCTGTGGGACCCACACACTGGTAACCCTGCTTGGGTTTTAGATCCCTCCAAAGAGGTGGGACAAACACCACTGAGCAAAAGAGCCAGAAACAAAAGGGCACACGCTGTTTGCTGCCAGTGTATGAAGTCCAAGGACAGGCAGAGCCAGCCTTGCTTCTGGGAACCGGATGGCGGCCGCCCGGGGCAGGGGCGCGGATAGGGTCTGGGATGCCGGCGGGGCATGGCTTCAGAGTGGGCTCCGCTTATAAAACTTCAACTGGCTGAACACTCACGGCATGCACACTTTTCTGTAAGTACAGTCGAGGAAAAGTGAGAGAGAGAGGAGACACCAGCGTAGCCAACCACTCTCCAGATGCCGAGCTTCCTGGAGACGCCAAGACTGGTTTGCCTTCTGTGGGGGGTGGTTCCCTTCCCATCCTCTCATAAGCAATAATGATGTTTCCTTTCCTCAGTCAGAAGGAGCCTGTCCTCAGACTTCAGAAGGAGGAGGGAACCCTCCCTTCTCACTCCTCCAACTTCAGTCCCAGAAGGAGGCTGTGCAGCACGGTCCTCGGACTCCGGGAGGCGGTGCAGATGCATGATGCAGGTTCAATGTCATTAGCCAGGGCAGGATCCTGGGAGGGAAGCCATCCTTGGTGCTGCGTGGAAAACAGCAAGTGCAGCCCCCACGCACTCCCTGCCCGGGCCTCCCCACTCGCCTTGGGGTTAGACCAGGCTCCACTGGTCTCATCTTCAAGGATCTCCACAAGCTTCATTGCAGGATTTTTTCCTAGAAAGGCCTGAAAGGTGAGGTGAAAACTGAGGCACAAGGGATCAGCCAGATGTGGTGGTGCATGCCTGTAGTCCCAGTTACTTGGGAGGCTGATGTGGGAGGATCGCTTGAGCCAGGGAGGTCAAAGCTACAGAGAGCTGAGATTGCACCACTGCACTCCAGCTGGGGCAACAGAGGTGGAGGGCAGCAGTGTGATCATAGCTCCCTGCATTGACAAGACAGAAAGAAAGAAAGAAGGAAAGCAAGAAAGCAAGAAAGAAAGAGAAGGAAGGAAGGAAGGAAGGAAGGAAGGAAGGAAGGAAGGAAGGAAGGAAGGAAGGAAGGAAGGAAAGAAAAAGTTAGTTTGGGCCCAGCAAAAGGAGTAGGTTTGAGAAGTAGTTGGTGGGGGGAAGGGGCTTTCCTGAAAGAGCCACCTTTTCTTTGAAAAAGGAGAAACAGTAGCTCTGGAAGGACCGCCTCTGGAGTCAGACTTGAGTCCAAATACACTCTTGAGGACACATCGAGTGTAGGAAAACGAAAGACAGGTGCAGGCTCGGGGCCAGCTCTGCACAGCGTCCCGGGTGGGTGGGATCACACCAGTATGGGATCCAAGACATATTCCTGCAGCAGTTGATTTCCAGAACTCGGATGAAAACACCACATTAATTCCCAGGGCAAGCACCAGCCAGACTGAGTTTCACTCCTCATGAGGCCTAATAAGTCTAAATATGTATAACTTCACCTAAAATTAAATCCAGCTTCAAAACAAGCCCATGCAGTTACATAAGGCAGTGAAATGGGAAGACTGGCTTTCAAAACAAAACCAAAATCATGATCAAGGAGCGAGCGTGGACCTCGTGGGGCTGACCTTCGAAAGACCCTCTTCGTTCTCTTACTTCCCATTCTATGCACGTAATTTCCCCAGTGTAAACCCTGATGACCAAAAGGCCTCCGAAAGACCTCACCAGCATGTTAACATCCTCATTCCTCCTTCTCCTCTCTCACATGTGGTCACATTTTCTTGCTTTTTTTGTTTGGTTGGTTTGTGTGTGTTTGTTTGTTTTGACAGGGTCTCGCTCTGTTGCCCAGGCTGCAGTGCAGTGGCGCTATCATAGCTCACCGCAGCCTCAACCTCCTGGATTCAAGCAATCCTCCCGCCTCAACCTCCAGAGTAGCTGGGACCACAGGTGTACCCCACCATGCCCCACTAATTTTTTTCACATTTTCTGAAAGCATTAAGTGACTTGAAGGAGACCCCCAACCCATACAAATTCACTCCAAACCACAGACTTGTGGGTTAGGCCTTAGAATTCTAAAATCTGGGGAGACCCTGGGGGCCTTTCTGACTCCAGACCACCCCAACTAGGAAGAACCCTGTTGAGACGTGAAAACCAAGAACAAAGAAGTGATGAGGTTGCCCAACCTGTTTTTCTTTTGTTTTTTAGGCCTTAAAATAGTTAATAGTGTATGTTATTTGAGCCATAATTTCCTTAAAACATTAAGTTTCTCCATTTACATAATGTATTCGCAATAACAGGCCCAGGACTGGAGATGAGGACATAATAGGTTCAAGAGTTCAAGTCAAATTCCAACCTTTTCTAGTGCTTAGTTTTGTGGGTAAATCCTGTCCCTTCCCTGGGTCTCCCTGTCTCTCTCTGTATAAACTCAAAGGAGGGGACTGGGGATCACTAAGGTCCTTCTGGTTCTGCAAGTGTCTCATTTATCCTTCCTGGGTTGGTCCAATTCCAGCTTCAGGTGACCCTCAGCAATATGTCTTCTGGCATTGAAAAGCCAGGCTCCTGGAACCTCACTGCCGCCACTGACTCAGTGGGTCTCACTGCTGTGAACTTGGAGTCCACCAAACCACATGCCCCTGAGGGGCCACTGTGTGCCCCACCCCACGGTCACACAACGTGCATGGGAGCCTCCCAAAATACAGCCACTCCCACCACCCACCATCTTACCCAGTGCCACAGGGCCCGGGCAGCAGTGAACAGAGGGTGTCGTTGCAACTGGAACTGCAGCACCTTTTCTTCCCCGGATGGATTCTATGAGTTTTCCAACATAGGAAGGGGTGTTGGGCTGGACATGGATTAAAGCGAGGTGCTGCCTGCCATTTCCTGTCCCGAGGAAGCAGAGAAGGAGAGGCCACGTGTCCTCGCCACTGGGCAGGCAGGGTCTTTCCTGACTCCCGGCCATAAAGAAACCAAAATCCCCGGGACTTTTGGGTCCTGAGGAAAGTCAGTTTTGTCCTCAGGGGTGAGGCTTGTATCTAGAAGCTCCTTACGTGGTTCCCTGTGAACGCATCTCTGCTTCTTCCGTGAGGAAACTGAGGCATGCAGGTGTCCACCTACTCTGTGGCCGTATCAATCGGGGGCTGATGCATACACAAGAGGGGACTTTCAGAAAGGCAGCAGGCAACCAGGGAGGCAGAGCTGTGCACCAGAAGGAAACCCGCTCCTTCCTGAAAGGCAGGCACAGGATGCCATCAACTGGGGAACCCCGGGAGGTACAGGCCCCACCCTGTACCCCCTCCTTCGTTTTCCGTACACTTGATGTGTCCTCAAAAGTATGCTTGGACTCAAGTCTGACTCCAGAGGGGGTCCTTCCAGAGCCATCGTTTCTCCTTTTTCAAAGGAAAGGTGGCTCTTTCAGGAAAGCTCCTTCCCCACCCCAACTATTTCTCAAACCCACTTCCTTTTCTAGGCCAGAACTTTATTTATCTATTTATTTAGTTTATTTATTTGTTTGTTTGTTTATTTATTTTTGGCGACAGAATCAATGCAGAGAGCCATGATCACACAAATTCAGAGCTCTGTTGCCCAAGCTGGAGTGCAGTGGTGCGATCTTGGCTCTCTGTAGCCTTGACCTCCTTGGCTCAAGCGATCCTCCCACCTCAGCCTCCCAAGTAGCTGGGACTATAGGCATGCACCATCACACCTGGCTAATTTTTTATTTTTTGTAGAATCATGGTCTCACTATGTTGCTCAGGCTGGTCTTGAACTCCTGGGCTCAAGCAATCCATCCACCTTGGCCTCCCAAAATGCTAGAATTACAGACATGAGCCTGCACCCAGCCCTGGGCCAGCACTTTCATGCCCAGTTAACAGCCTTTGGGGCTGGGCAGGAGCTGGGGTGTGTGTACCCCACACATACAAAGTCTCCACCTACCTCTCGGTCAGGCCATCCCTTAGCGTTGCTCCCCTGTGATGTGGTTTCTCCATCTTACGCTGTGGTGACACAGGGCTCCCCCACCAACCCACGGTCACTCAGCAATGGCCTGTGGGGTAGGTGCTCACACCCCCAAGGCTCCAGGAGGGCACCCCGGGCACCTGCAGTGACTTCTCTTATTGTAGATGTGGTTTCGAGGATGGACGAAAAACCTAAATGAATCCTTTCAGAGGGAAACTTGGGGCTTTGCTCTATGTTTAGGGGAAGGTTCACTCTCAAACCCCGGCCTGCCGTGAGGGCAGATGTCTCCCTCCTCCTGCATGTGAACAAGGATGCTCATGGTCCAGGAGGTGCTGGCAGCCACTTTATCACCATGAGGGAAGCAGGCTGAGAATTAACCTGACCCACAGGGAGCATCACAGATAACTCGACCTGCAGCCTCATAGGATCAAGAGCTTTGGAGAAAATCAACCCAGATGCCTGAACTTCCTTGGTGTGTTTTAGCTGTGGGAGCTGACAAAGCCCTTGTTGACAGTCGTTGGATGTGGATGTTCTGTAGCTGGACTGTGAAGCACTCTAATAAAATCACCTTTAGAAACTTTTACTCTTTTCATGGCTTTATGACGACGCAGGAGGTAAAGATGGTGTGCTTTCTACAACAGTAACCCCTCCCTTCCAACCAGATTGCCACACCAAGTCCTCCCACACAGACATTCCCGGGGCACCGGACAGGAGCCCCCAAAAGGCCCATCAGAACAACCCAGCATGTCCCCACAACATCCAGAGACCTTCCGTGCTCGTTACAGATTCTCAGGCAGAAGGAGCAACGTCGTGAAGGAGATATCCAGGAAGATTGCCTGACAGCATTCACTATGCAGAAGCCATTGAGAATCAGAGCCATCGGCTGGGAGGCAGGAACAGTGAGTGATCAGCTGAGGAAGGCCCCATGGAGGTCAAGGAAGGGGAAGGCATCCCAGAGACACTGCAAGGAGGAAGGGCTGGCAGCATTAGGACAAAGGGGACATGTCAGTCACGGGCACAGAAGAGGGTGAAACCGAAAGGCCACGCATGCTGGGAAGACGAATTGGCAGCTGGGTTCAATGAACCACCATGCCCTCAAGGTTAAAATTCAGAAAGATCTATTTTGGTCTTAGATCATTTGCAGTTTTGTTAGGTTTGTTTTGCCCGATAGGGTGGGCAGGGAGGGGGAGGTTGCATTCGAGTCGTAACTGGGATGATTTCTGGGAACGAGAGCCTGAGAAATTCCTTCTCTGCTCAAGGCAGCAGGGGCAGAGGAGACAGGATTCCCATGCTTCACTCTCAAACCCCGGCCAGCCGTGCGGGCAGATGTCACCAGTGCCTGCTGCTGGCAATACCACTTGGCTCCTTAAATGGTAAATTCTGCTAAGAAGGTCTCCCTTTTCCAGGAGATATTTTAAAACAAATGCAGTGGACATTTCCCTTCAAAATGAGATGCATTCTGTCAAGCAGCTGGCATTCATTAGGAAACTAGAGACAAAAAGTATCACAATCAAATGACACCATTTGACAGAGGAGGAAACTGAGCCCCAGAAGTCCAGTGGCAGAGCTGGACCTCCACTCAGCTCTCCTGGGTCCCCCACAAGGGCCAAGGTGACCGGCTCCCTCTGCCATCCCAGCACCATTATCACATGCACCACCCATCCCATCACTCTGGAAAGGGCCTGATCTGGACAACGAATTACTTGTCCATTCTGACTCTAACCCACTACCTCCAGGACTTAAGGAACTAGGAAAGCAAAGAATGGAAAACCAGCAAGTCCTCTTCTTTGGGGGCTTTGTTCTATGTCTGGGGGATGTGAAGCCATCTCCCTCCTAGATATGAACGAAGACACATGTGGCCTGGAAGGTGTTGGCAGCCACTTTATCACCATGAGGGAAGCAGTTTGAGGACTCACCTGACCTACAGGGAGAATCACAGATAACTCCACCTGCATCTTCCTAAGAGTGAGAACCTTGGAGAAAGTCAATTCAAACACTTGCCTTCCCTCAGGAGTCAGTTCTGAGAGCTACCAAGGAGAGGGCAGGATCAGGGTGAAAAATGACTTGGGTCTCAGACCCAGAACATTCTACTGGCTGCCTCCAGGACTCAGTGGGGGGCTAGGAAGGGTTCTCCATCTTCCAAGGGTGTGGAGTGTGCTGTGGGTCACTCAGAACCTCCCTCTCCTCTTCTGTGATCAGCGGATCTTGTCCAGCCCCTCTCCACTGCTGGCTCACTCAGCGCCCTCCCCCACCCAGAAACTGCTGGGCTCACCTACTGAGCTATGTGATCCCTAAGAAGCTGTCAGAGCTGTACAAGTCTCACAATTCCTTACTCACTAAGCACTGGCAAGCGCAAGCTCCAGGGCGTGGCTGTCAGCACTCTGCACCTTCCTGGAACTGTCGGGGGAGCATACGGTCAGCAGCACCATGCACATCCTTATTGTGCAGCTCAGGAGTCCAAAGCCAAGAACAAGACGGTGAAGACAGCCCAAGAAGGCTTTTCGGTGCAGTCAATGTCTGACATTTATGATGCACCCACTCACCGGGGACACCGAGTCACATCTGAGCCTCATTTTTTCTTCTGGGAAGACATGCACACTGCCCGACTCATATCATTCACCTTTGGACAGGCAAAGGAGGGAAGGAGGCAAGGCAGGTGCTTCTTTCTAAAAAAAAAAAAAAAAGAAAGAAAGGATAATAAAGAGAGAAAGAAGGAGGGAAGGAAGGGAAGGGAAGGGAATAAAGGAGAAGAAGGAAAGAAAAAGAATGAAAGAAGGAAGGAAGGAGAGAGAGAGAAAGAAAAAGAAAGAGAAAAGAAAGAAAACAAAAGAAAGGAAGGAGAAAGGAAAGAAAGAAAGAAAGAAAGAAAGAAAGAAAGAAAGAAAAAGAAAGAAAGAAAGAAAGAAAGAGAGAGAGAAAGAAAGAGAAAGAAAGAAAGAAATCAAGCAAGCAAGCACGCACGCACGCACGGCCCAGGAAGAGAAAACCAGTGAGTCCTCTCTAAATGGTGAATCAGAGTCCGTGGCATAGCCAGGGACAAAGTCCAACTTGCCTCTGCCCGGATCTCCGTCTGCTGCCATCTCCGGAGGCCACACGGCCTGCCCCTCCCCTGCTCGCTCCTCATTCTCTGATGACAGGTGGTATGAGTGGCTACTCACCACTCTGACAGCCTCTCAGCAGCAGACTGTACCCTGGGTTTGCAGGTAGAGCCTGAGTTACACCTCCTGAATGCATTACACATCACAACACTGTCACCACACTCTCTTTTGACCTAAAGAAACCCTGCACTGGGTGACCTCCAAGAAGCCATCTGCCTCTGATGCTTCTAGGTTAGGCAGCAGGGCTGGGAGAGTGGTAATATAAACCCCTTCTTTCCACTGGGGCCTTTTGGTTTCAGTCCTTGGAAATATTATTTGTAAAAGAACTTAAAATGCACTCGCTTTGGGGAAATGCTCAGATTCAGGAGACCCCCCGATGGGACATGGAGAGAAGCCGGGGTCCTGGGGAGGCACCACCTGCCTTGCCTCTTTCTGCACCCCAGCACCCAGCCCAGGCCTGGCACACAGCAGGGAGGGCTGGCTGGATGCTTCCTAAGCGAGTGGTTATTCTCTAAGTGGATACAACCAATGTGCCGGCCAAACAGATGCACTGGAGCCTCTAGGTGCTTAGGTTTGGTTCACGGTCTCGCAGGCATCCATTGATTGGAATATATGTAGACTTACTTTTTTTTTTTTCTTTTTTTGAGAGGGAGCCTCTCTCTGTCATGAGGCTGGAGTGCAGTGGCGCGATCTTGGCTCACTGCAACCTCTGCCTCCCAGGTTCAAGCAATTCTTCTGCCTCAGCCTCCCGAGTAGCTGGGATGACAGGTGTGCACCACCACGTCCAGCTAATTTTTGTATTTTTAGTAGAGATGGGGTTTCACTATGTTGGCCAGGATGGTCTCAATCTCTTGACCTCGTGATCCGCCCACCTCAGCCTCCCAAAGTACTGGGATTACAGGTGTGAGCCACCACACTTGGCCTCTAGTGCAGGGGCTACCAGGTGACCAGAGTTTTTATTCTTGGTCACTTTAGCACAAAAATAGAGAAAAGTGGCCTCAGTGAACCTTATCTGTACCTCATTTCATCCTTGCAGACATCCCCAGGCTCTGCAGGACCAGCGAGTGAGAGGAACCACGCACATACCTGGCAACAGCAGTCTGGGGTTGGTGTGCCCGTCTGTAATGGCTGCATGTGGTACATTTGATTCTATGAGCGCGTGTCTAATGTGAGTTTCAGGAAGGCGACAGCTGTGCCATGAAGAATGGATGACTCACCTCTCTGCACCAGCCTCGCCAGCATGCAGGCCTGTGTGGTGCCGTCCAGAGCCCAGGGCTCAGCATGAATGAGGAACGCACGTACCTGAAGTCGGGTTCCCATTCCAGCCCTTCCCCATCCAGCTTCTACTGACTTCCAACCACTGCGAAGAGAAACGTGTTGTCTCTGGCTAATTCCCTCTCTCGACCTTCTTAAGCAAACCTCCAGGAAAGGCTGCAGAAGGGGACCTGTGAGGTTTGCAGATGGCATCAGAAGGCTGAGAGACAAGTGTCCTCCAGCCTCACCAGCAAGATTTCCTGTGCCCTTCCCATCTCCACTTCCCCACCCTGCAGGCTCCCTGCAGGCAACCTTTCTGTCCCCTTCCCTCCTCCCCCACTATGTTTTCCTGCCCCTTATTCATCATTCACTGGACATTCTGAGCACCCATCTTGGCTAGATTTCAAGGCACTGAGGATTCAAAAGGAGAGTCAGGCATTGCCCCTGCCCTCAAGGTGAAAGCTGGAGCTCAGCTGGGAGAAAAGAACCTGCCTTCAAGTGACATCAAAAGTTGCAGGGGTGGCCAGGCATGGCGGTTCATGCCTGTAAATCCCAGCACCTTGGGAGGCAAGGCGGGAGGATCAGTTGAGCCCAAGAATTCAGGAGCAGCCTGGACAACATGGCAAAACCTTGTCTTTAGAAAAAAATACAAAACAAAAACAAACCAAAAAAATAAAGCCAGGCACGGTGGCACACGCCTGTAGTCTCAGCTACTTGGGAGGCTCAGGTGGGAGGATCACCTGAGCCCAGGAGATCAAGGCTGCAGTGAGCCGAGATCACACCACTGCACTCCAGCCTAGGCTACAGAGTGAGACCCTATCTCAAAAAAAAAAAAAAGAAAGAAAGAAAAGAAAGCTGCAGGGGAGGGTTCAGGGAAGCTGTGTAGAAGCTGAGTCCCTGTCCACTTCTTTTGCCTGTGAGCAGTCTGAAGACTTGGCCGATTGAGGGAAATCTTTACTGCTTTGGGTCTTACTTGGAAACCCGAAGGCTTAGCTGGGTATGAGGCTGCAGCAGTCCTGGTTCTGCTATCTTAAAAGTATGTCTGTGGGCCAGGCATGGTGGCTCACACCTGTAATCCCAGCACTTTGGGAGGCCGACGTGGGCAGATCACCTGAGGTCAGAAGTTTGAGACCCGCCTGGACAACATGGTAAAACGCCGTCTCTACTAAAAATACAAAAATTAGCCCAGCATGGTGGTGTGTGCCTGTAGTCCCAGCTACTTGGGAGGCTGAGGCAGGAGAATTGCCTGAACCCGGGAGGCAGAGGTTTCAGTGAGCCGAGATTGTGCCACTGCACTCCAGCCTGGACAGAGCAAGACTCTGTCTCCAAAAAAAAAAAAAAAAAAAAAAAAATGGCTCTGTTTCATGACCTGGGCCTACCCCACCCTCCACCGGGAAAAGTTCTTCAGCACTAGGCCCCATGGGAGACGGACTCCGAAGTCCCCTCCAGTTCTCTGCTATACTCACCTTCTCCTCCCTGCAAGCAAACAGAAGGAAAGATGCACGTTTCCAAGGGCGGGCAGAGGTCTCCAGTCCCCTCCCCGACCACACGGTTTCCTCCTCCGCAGCCCTACTCCAGTGAACCCCGGGCTCTGTGTGACATCAAAGGCTGGGGTGAGAGAAGTGCTACCCCCTGCTCCCCAGCCTAAGCGCCTGGATGGGGGACTAGGGGCCAGAGGGGGACGCAGGTCCCAGCTCCCATCTGTGCCAGGGCACAAGGCACTCCTTCCCCTAGGCAGGAAGCATTTGCTCCCCTAAGCAGGTCTTTCTTCCAGAAGCCTTGCTTATCACAGGCAAATTCACCCACCCTGAAGCTGCAGGCCATAGTGGGGGCAGGGAGGAGATTTATATGGCCTTCTAGCTAAAGCTTGGGACCACTCTGTGGAAGGTTTTTCAGGAAATCAAGGTCTGCCAGGAACCAGGAACCTGGTTGCGTTTAGCTGTGCACACTGGCCTTGACGGTCATGGAACAGTCCAGAAATGCACCACCCTGATCCACCCTAGGGCCAGTATTTTGGTTAGGTGTGTTTTGCACCATCTCATCAGTAACCCTGTGGTTTCCAAATGCCTCCTCCCTGCCCCTGTTCCACTAGGGCCCTCTGCCTGGGGCCAAAATAAACACTGGGAATTGGAACAGAGGAGGACTTTTCCAAGGGAGCGGCCACTGCCTCTTTTTCTCCACAGAGCCACCACCTGCATTTTAGCTGCTCACGCCAGCTGAGCTAAGGGCCAGCTCCAGCTCCTGGCTGCTAAGATTCCTCCAGTTTCCTTAGATTGTCAGCCTGGGACATGCCAATGTGTTTCATCTATCTCAAACCACAGAGCGCCATAATGAACAGACACATGGAGAAACTGGTGTCTTTCCCCCACCATCCCAAATGTGGGTCTCTCCGCCCACCAGCCTGGGAAACAAGGGAAAATGATTAACAGACACTCTAATTAGGGCATGGTTGAGCCTGTGGGGATCAAGGATGGGCTTTGGTTTCCTTGGGGAAGAATGTTGCTTTCACTATGCTGGATAAAGTGCTGGAATTTCACAGATCTCAGATTTCATAACCAAAGCTGGGATTCATTCCATGCTTTCCTGAAGTAACCAAACTCAAGCTATAGAATCTTAACCAAGTTAACAGATACATCCCATCCTTACCAATATTTGGAAGGGACCCTAATTAGCAATTCATTGTCATTCTTCTTGGTTGTGGTGTTTTAGCCATTTCTTCTTTTCTTTTTTTTCTCTTTTTTTCTTTTTTTTTTTTTTGTGATGGAGTCTTGCTCTGTCGCCCAGGCTGGAGTGCAGTGATGCAATCTCGGCTCACTGCAACCTCTGCCTCCCGCTTCAAGCAATTCTCCTGCCTCAGCCTCCTGGGTAGCTGGGAATACTGGCACACGCCACCACGCCCTGCTAATTTTTGTATTTTTAGTAGAGACAGGGTTTCACCATGTTGGTCAGGCGGGTCTCGAACTCCTGACCTCAGGCAATCCGTCTGCCTCGGCCTCCCAAAGTGCTGGGATTACAGGCATGAGCCACCGTGCCTGGCCCTTCCTTCCTTCCTTCTTTCCTTCCTTCTTTCCTTCCTTTCATTGTTAGCCCAAATGTCCATTTTGTTTCCCAAAGTATTCAGATAGAGTAAGTTACTAAACCATTTGGTCACTTTTTCTGTTTGTCATTCAATGACCACAGTCAGCAGGTTAAAGCCAGGCTCTAACTTAAACACAGAGGCTACTTCAATAGGCCTGTTTTTCTCAGAAACATGAACATCTTCACTGAAAAGCCGTAGTTAGGTTCCTGTACACGTCACGTTGTATTGACACAGGAGGATGTGTAAACCTAGCCCAAAGCTTTAGGAAGAAGCAGCTCTCAGGGAGGATGCTGGAAAGCGCCCAGGGAAAGCACACCATGACCGCAGCAGGCACCCACAGACCCAGCATCAGAGCGCAGCTCTGTGAATGGTAATTTATTCCACGGTGACTGCAGGCCAGGCCTGTGCTGAGCAAGTTTATATTTTATTTCATTCTCCCAACAGCCTCTGAAATATTTTTATCTCCATATCCAAACCCATGCATTCACAGGCCCAGCCCCATCCAGCCTGGCCTCTCTGGTGTCCAGGCTTGGACTCTTAACCCCTGGGGTCCTGGGTTTGTCATCTGACTCCCGGACTCAGGGACTGCTGATGAGCTTCTTTTCTTCCAGGGTTTCAGCCTCCTTGTTTTGCAGTGGGTATCATGGTCAGCCATTCACCCAGGGAACGTCCATGGCCCGTGCCTGGCACCGCACTTAGGTAGCCAATGGGCCATGCTCTGAGCAGACTCCGGGTTGTTACAGAGATTAAGTGAGCTGATGTCCAGGGGTCACTCAGCACAGTGCCTGCCCATAGCTGGCACCCTGGATGGCAGCTAGCACGGCAGCTCCACAAAGCCTTCCGGGACCCCTAGACTCTC